>NC_000004.12:109678956-109830471 GCF_000001405.40 Homo sapiens | reverse complement strand
CCTTCTGGCTCTTGAATGTATCTACTTTTTTCTGTCCCCACTGCGATTACTCCCTCCTCAGAATCACTGCAATGGCCTCCTATGTGGTCCCTTAGCTACCACTATAGCACATTTCTAAAACACAAATCAGATCATGTCACTCCCATTTCAAACCCTTCAGTGACTCCCTGTCACCTTTAAAACTTACACGGCTCATCACTGTCTGGTACTCAGCCATCTTTTTCAACCTCTCACCCTTCATTTTACAGTTCAAACATAATGATTTATTTCAGATCCTCAAATTCACCATGTCCTCTTACCTCCCAGCCTTAACTGGGGAAAGGGAGAGTGCTCAAGGACACTAAATTAACAAAATGTCTGTTGCACTGGAAGTTGTAACAGTTTATAGGAGCCAAACTATAAATGAAAGATCAAATTAAAAATTAAATAAAAAATCTAAATAGGCCCTTGGTAAAAGTAACGAATGAAATAAATGCTTTCACTACACCCTTTCCTCATAGTTTTGGTTTTGATTTGCAACTTTAAGTGAGTTTTGTTAAAGGAGGAAAGTTAGGGGATCTAAAGAAAAATAGATGCTTGATACAGGGGCAGAACAAAAGCATAAAGAGTTCAGCTATGCTTCCTTCAGTGGATCCACCAGAAACACAAACAACACACACTCATTGTATACCTTGATAAAGCTGACTCTTGGATTTATATGTGAGGGCTCTAGAACCAAAATGCCTGGGTTCAAATCCTGGTGTAGCTGCTTAGTAAATGTGTGTGCTGGACAAGTTTCTTAAGCTCTTCATCTGTATAAACTAGAGAAATAAAACTGAAGAGTAACTTACTAAATTAGTGTAAGGATGAATTATTCTGTATGTGTAAGGTTTTAGAACAGTGCTTGGTATATAGCAAGTATTCAAATGATAACATTAGTAGCAGTAGTAGTAAGATTACTATTATTATTACTGTTACAGAGATAAGAACTAAATAGAATATTTTCTGCATGCTAATTTTGTAACCAGGTCAAAAAAGGATAGTTTTGGTTGTTTTTTGGATTTTTTTTTTTTTTGGTCATCTACAAATAACTAACTAAACCAAACACTTGTATACAAAGTATTTCCATGTAATTGTTAGGAGATTTTCTCAGTCTTTTTTGCAATTACAAAAAAACTAGAACTTGTCTAGTACTTATCATAGAGGTATTCAAATGAACGAGATAACGTCACTAAAATCGCAAAACTTAACTGAGGAACTCAATTTCCAGTACTAGAAGTAATACGCTGAATTATAAGGAAGAAACGTAAACAATTATAAACTGGGTATAGGATGGTGTGTTATACTTTTCACTCTACTTTTGAATGTTTGAAAATTTTTATAAAAGTCAATCCAAAAAATAATGAACTCAATATAAGAGTTACTTCTACAACTCGTTAGAGTATAAAGTTGAAAATTAAGTGATTGCTCAATATAAAAGTTACACAATTCAATGATACATTAAAAAGATAAAAAGTTTCTGTCATTCCCCCATCCCTTTTTTTCTGCAAACAATCCTTTACATCAATGAGTGTGTAGGGAGGAAAGGGAAAAAGAAACAAATATTTGTCCAACACCTACTATATGGCATTTATGTGTCACTTAATTTTACTCCTTATAACAATCATGACAGATAACTTATTCTTATCCTTGTTTTACAGATGAGAAAATGGAAGAACAAAAAGGGAAGATACATGCTCACAGTTGCAAATATACTAAAAGATGAAATCCAAAACTCAAGAGTTTTCCAATAAGCATTCTGGAACAAGCTGAATTTTCAGACTCTGTCCTCAATGACAATATACCCTGCTCTGTCTTCTTAGGACTTTTTCTTTCCAGAACCTTTAAGTTCTTAGCTAAATTCTACCACCAAGAACAAAAATATGAGGGTTATGTATAAGAATAGTAAATGACATAAAAATATGTTTTTGCCATGGTGCATACTCTTCTCCAATAAAAACTTTAACAATCCAATAATCAAATACATAGATTTTTATGAAAGAACTATTTATCACATAGAAAACTTTTCTCAGCCCCACTTCACTGCTCTTATTTACCAAAATTCAAAATAACCTGTGGCAATGGCCATCACTAACAATGCTTTCCCTTATTCTTTCACCCACATTATCTTATTTGATCTTTACAGCCCAGAAATAGAGTATCATCATCCTCATTTACCAACGAGCAAGCCAAGTCAGGATAAATGACTTGTCAAGGTTGGCCAATAATATGGAACTTGAAACAATGCATGCCTTATGCTGAAAACTTCTGCCTTTCTTCACCCATTCTAAAGAAAAATAACTTACTTAAATATCCATACCTGCCATAATCAAGTAAGTTGCAACAATATTGTGTTCAGTCTGTGAAAAGACCGAGCCATCTTCATTTTTAGAGTCTGAACTGTTGCCTAAATTATTTCTTAGCATTTTGGAGGGAAGATACCGAAACACCCTTCATAATAAGCCTTCGATAATTATGAACTGCTTTATGAGCTACTGAGGAAAGATTTTTTAGGACCAATCATTTCCACTTAGAGACCTCAAAGAAGGGCCTTTTCATAGAGGCCCTCCCTTAACAAATTTAATTGGGCTAAAGAGGAAAGGACTTTAATTCCCAGAATAAGGGAAAAGCTTATTAGCAAAACAAAAAGAAATACCAAGCACCACACATTTTAACCTATTTGGGCATCAGTCTTCTATCTAAGGAGATTATCAAGCACACACATCCCATTTAACAATAAACAAACTCAGGAAATCAGTATAGGAGCCAGCCTTAGTCCTCTAAAACTATTCGGATTAAGGTCCCTGTTTTCTGTTGACCATTCAAGTCTTTCCATTTCGGCTCCTTTTGTTGTTTTTTTTTTCTTAACAATTTAAATATTAGTGACAAAGAAGTAGTCTCCTTCCTACTTCCAAATCTCACTCTCCTAAAGGTACCAGTATTGTTTGGTGCATATCCTTTCTTAGGCTTTTCTCTGCTTATACACATATTCATACAAGTGTTTCAGGTTTCCTCCACTTTCTTCTTGTAAATAAAAATGAGGGAAAAAAATAAGTACAAATGTATATATATAATGCAACTTGTTTTCCCATAAGGCTGTATTATAATATCCAAGTTAATAAACCCAGAATCTAATAAAGTCTAATTTATTAGTAGCTATGTATTTCATAGCATGGATATAATATGATCAACTCCACCATCCGTTAATTTCCCCTATAGTTTGATATGCACATGAGTAATTAATATTATCTGATGATAGTAATCATTGTATACTTTGCCAGAGTATCTGAATTCAATCACTGATATTGTAAAGTACAGAATAAAAATATTCTGGATTATCACATTACAACCTGAAAACCAACCTGAGCATGTTTTGTTAGAATAATAAGGTATCCCTATTACCTTTTTTCCCATATTCTTTATGCCATTAACATTATTAAAATCTGATTCTCCTCAGTTTCCTAAAATCAGTAAACATTAGAGAAATGCTTAGATGCACCAAAGTTAACAGTGTAAGCATAAAACAGAACCACTAGAGGGCTATATTTACCCACTTAGTTTAATTTTATAAAAATCCTAGAATGGCACAGCAGAAACCTAAGATAATCCTTTTGCTTCAGTTCTCTTGCCTGTGTATAAACTCAAGATGAACAGGTTGATTTATCTGTCCCAAATCTTATAGCTACCAGTACTCACATTTTTATAAATGTAATATTGTTATACCTATACTAGAAAAGCGAATCTCGTCAGTATTGTTTTCAAATGACCCTAGAGCAAAAAACATAATACCCAAGAGGAAATCACTCCCTTTAAAAAGTCTTTGTCTTTTCTTTCATTCAATATGCAAAACAAAACTTAAAATTTTTGAATTTGCTTTGGGTCATACTACCTTCCTTTTCTGTAATAAGTTATACCTAGTTGTAGCATCCATGAAAAATTTTCCAGAAATAATTATTTCTAAGAACTGAAAAATATATAATTTCAGATAGTCAGCTTTCTGCTGCAGATGAAAGTTTTGATATGAGTGAGGTAGGTGCATTTGAAGTTCTTTTTTATGCTTCCTTCATGGGTGATACAGAAAAGCTATATTGGGATAAGGCTTAGAAATACATGTGAATTTGATTCAAAATGAAATGCCTCAAAAAAACCCAGAAACTAGGCCAGGCGCAGTGGCTCACACCTGTAATCCCAGCACTTTGGGAGGCCAAAGCAGGCGGATCACCTGAGGTCAGGAATTCGAGACCAGCCTGACCAACATGGAGAAACCCCATCTCTACTAAAAATACAAAATTAGCCGGGCATGGTGGCGCATGCCTGTAATCCCAGCTACTTGGGAGGCTGAGGCAGGAGAATCGCTTGAACCCGGGAGGTAGAGGTTGCAGTGAGCCGACATTGCACCATTGCACTCCAGCCTGGGCAACAAGAACAAAACTCCGTCTCAAAAAATAATAATAATAAATAAACAAATAAATAAACCCAGAAACTATAAGGAAAAAAAAGGAAAAGATGTGGAAATAAAAGCTTAAAGATGGACAATGAAAAAAAGATATACATAAGCTAAACGGTAAAATTTCCAACTGGTTTGTCTACTGATCTATATGTTATTTCCATTATTGCCATTTTAGATTTATTTTTAATGTTAAAAAAACAAACTGTAGAAATGTTGCGCTATTATTATTTGTCCTTGGGACAATGCCATCACCCTTTGGTGCTTACTAACATCTTTTCCAAACCACGAGCAAAAGCCCTGGCCCTAACACTCCATGAAAATTTCATCACCACAATTCCAAATCAAATAATCTCCTGTCCTAAGCTGTAAAAGCATAACTGCCTATTCCTGTAAAAACTGTAATTTTCAACACATTTGCTCATCATATATATTAATGGCCTATGTATTTATTCATCCTGCTGCAATTCCATCAATCAGAAAAAGATAAAACCCCAAATACTGACAAAGACAACACTGTATGCTCCTCAAATGAGCATTCAAGAGCGTTCCTCCATGGGCATGTTAGAAAATTTAACAAACGATATAGAAACATCATTCCTTTTGAGAAGTGAAAAATGAATGGCAGGGTAAATGGCTCCATATCATGGCATTCTAACTTGCTACCACAGTCATTTCTTTACATCCACTAGCAATGGTGACCAAAACCAATTTCATTTCTAACATCCTTACCCAGCAATCTGAACATGTAGTATGCAATCGAATTCGTGTAGTATACTACACGAATATTTACGTGTAGTAAATAACACCTTAAACTTTTAGAGTCCCTTTAAAAAAGTAAAAATAAAATAACATTCAGTAAAACTTCTAATATTCCATTTATGTTGGATGAGAAAAATTAACTTTAGAAATTTCTTGCTATAGTTTTCACTTCAACAGAGCTACTGCATCTTTAATACATTACTAATATGGAAAATTTTTAAATCAATTATTAATTGCAATTAGAGAAACAGCTTAACTGATTTATGTATTAAAATACAAAAGGCAAATACAAAGCTATCTTCTCATACATAAAAGGCCAGGGTTTTGAAAGGCAGTGTCAACTTGTAAATTATCTTAAAGTACTGCTACAGTAGTCTATTTTTTAAAAGATCAGTAATATAAATAAACAAATCCTTTTTTCGATCTGCAATTCACTGGGTTTAAGCTTTAGTTATTCCTTTCTACTTTAAAAAATGGGTTTCATTTAATAAACACACTCTAAATAACTTAAGGGAATAAAACACTTTATTTTAAAAATTCAAATATGCTTCAAATGAAAACTCCTATCCATTTATTGAGCACCCACAGAGTGCCAGGCACTGTACAAAACATTAGAAAGACTTGTTCATGCTCTTTTAGAGCAAAATTCACTATTCCGTTGCACTTTGCATGATGCTGACATTTTAGATCCATTGTCATAAAATGACCAAGATCTTCAAGACTTGTTCAAGAAACAAGTTTCCAATCCATAGTAGAAACAGATCATGCAGGTTAATGCAGAAGTCAACTGGTGATGTCTGTCAACTGTTTCACTTAATGTCCTCTCCCTGATTAAGAGAAAATTAAAGTATTAAGGGCACAGAAAATGGATTTTTAATAGTATTATAACCTAAATCTCAAGTTTAAAATCAGCATTAGTTCCAATAATGTTTAGCAAACATACTTTACCAAATTTAACTGTCATTCATATTACACCTTTATTTTTCAAATTAATAATAAAGCAAAACAAATTAGAATTAGGTGAAAAAATTGAAAAGAAAAGGCAAAAAAAAAGTGATATAAAATGAAACCACAAATTAGGCTAAGCAAAGAACACCATGGTGTTCTATATACTTGCTGGCAGAGAAAATTAAACTTAAGTAAAAACAGAAAATGCCAGATAATATCAATTTTAAACATTAAGCAATTTAAAGACTTTTTAAAATACTCACCTCTGAAACCACCACCTCTTCCTCCTCTGAAGCCCCCACCTCCACCTCCTCTTCCACCTCTAAAACCACCTAAAAAACATTTATTAAATAATAACGCAAAGTATTTAAATAACAATAGAATATAATAATCATTAAGTTATTAACTGTATAACCTCTTATATTGATAAGCCTAAAAAGATCAATACAATAACTATAATTATAATGAATAAATATAGATTCACATATTTTATCAGGGAAAAAATTTTAGAAGATAAAAATGGAGAAACTGTAGTAGTTTACCAACTGGGCAACAGGCTAAAACCCCAGATTATTCCATTTCAATAAATTAGAAAAACTTGTTAAAGTATGATTCAGTCTTGTTAAATGTATGACTATTGCCTTAGCTCTTGCTTATGATAAATACTTTTTTGATTCAACTAAGGATAGTTTGATGGAACTGTGGCTTTTTATCCTAACAACAAAGGGTGGCAGATATGGGTGCTTTTGCTCTGGGGGTAAGATAATAAATATGATAGTTAAGATTAACTGAGCTACATAAGTAAGATTTTAAAAAAATAAGACAGCTGTGAATTTTTTGAAATGTTAAATGATACTCAACATAACATGAGAATAGGGGAATCTCTGTTCATCAAATTCTCAAGAAGGTACCCCTGAGAATTTTCCTACCTATATGGACACAAAAAAATACCTTTATGGAGTGAAATGGTGATTAAATTGAGAAACGCCAAAAGTGAGGCGTTCCTTCTCTTTTTCTGATCCAGTAACAAAAGCTGTCCAAGCCCAACTTTCAGCTCCTCTCCCTTTCCACTTTGGCTCTGCCCATCACCCCATCACTCGCCCTTCTCCTACTCACAGGGCATGGCAGCCCCACTCCCCAGAGCCCTGCTCATCACCTAGCTGTCCATAATGATGAATGTGCCCAAACCTTAGGGGAAAGGCATACATCAAAACAGGCATACATCAAAATACCCCAAAACCTTGGGGGAAAGGCATACATCACAACAGTGAGATCACAGTAATGAATTTATTAGTAATAGTTCTTGACATGACATCAGAAGATATGCATTTTAATTCTTGGGTCTGCCAATTGTTTGATTGGGGCAAATTAATTTCTGTAAGTCTCCGTTTCCTCATTCATAAAATAAGGATATCATCTATCTCAAAAGGTTTCGCTGAGTATTAAAAATATATACATGGAAATTAAAAGAATGTATGACCAGCTTTCAGCATGCAGTCTACACTCAATAATATTAACTAAGGAATTAAAATTAAGATAATCTTACGGTTTATTAAAATGTCCAAGAAAACATGAATAACCCAAAGAAATGAAGTCCCTCAAAAGTATACTTTAGTAGATTTTCTTCTTTTTAAGTAAGTTGTTGAAATGAAGCATTATTATTATGGACAATCTGCCAATATTGGAAAGCAGCTTTAATAAAAAGAACCATAAGGGAGGTTTGCTATGTACAAAGCTAAATTGTATTGTATGAATTAGCTGTGAAAGTCACAGTTAATTTCATTAGAAATTTTCCCCAAGTAACTTACCGCCTCTGCCACCACCTCTGCCACCTCCTCCTCTTCCTCCTCCTCGGCCTCCCCTGCCACCACCTCTTGGAGGTCCTTTCTCACCTGGAGGTCGAGGTAAAAACCTCTGCAGTGGCAGCAGCTTATATGGGTCTATATAAAACTGGAAACATAATAGAAGCAATTAGTATACAACTTGGGGGACAGTATAATATAATCATTAAGAAGCTACATGATAGAGTCAAAACTGCCTGGGTTCAAACCCCAATCCTACCACTTTCTACTACATATCCCTGGGTAGAGACTTAATTTCTTACTAACTTAGGTTTCTTTTTTTTTTTTTTTTTTTTTTTTACCTTAAGTTCTGGGATACATGTGCAGAACGTGCAGGTTTGTTACATAGGTACACATGTGCCATGGTGGTTTGCTGCACCTATCAACCCATCATCTAGGTTTTAAGCCCCGTATGCATCGGGTATTTGCCCTATTGCTCTCCCTCCCCTTCCCCCCATCCCCCGACAGGCCCAGGTATGTGATGTTTCCCTCCCTGTGTCCATGTGTTCTCACTGTTCAACTCTCACTTACGAGTGAGAACATGTGGTGTTTGGTTTTCTATTCCTGTGTTAGTTTACCTTAGTTTCCTTATCTGTAAAATGTAGAGAATAGAGTATCTATCTCACATGTTTGTGTGATGATCAAAAAAGTGATGTATATAAGGCACTTGTACTTTGGCACACAATAAGCATTACATGCATATTAAAAAATCAAGACCAATTCAATATCATTTCTCTTTAGAAATAGATTATTTAACATTTCCACTCAACAGAACTGCCGTAAGAAAAATAAAACTATTAAAAAACACAGCATTAAAATTCAAAATAAAGCATTCGCATACTAGTTGTTTCAAGTCTTTAATAAAGGATCAAAAGGGTATCTTCTGAACACACAAAGTAATGAAGGATATACAGAAACTATACCCATCCTATAATTGGGGTTAAAGAGGACATTTCTCAAATAATGAGATGTAAAGAGCATATTGTATCATAGTTCTTCTACATAAAACACACGAGGATTTCAAAACTGTAATATATGACTTATAATAAGATCTCTGAATCCCTCTCTAGATATCACCTTATTACTCATCTTCCCTTCACAGCCCATCATCTCAAAAATATTGTCTAGATCTACATTGTTCAATATGGCAGCCACCAGCCACAGGTGGCTTATATTTACATTAATTAATGTTTAAAAATTCAGTTCCTGAGTCACATGAGCCACACTTCACGTGCTCAATAGCTACATGTGGCTAAGAGCTACTTTACTGGGCAGGGATTCCCATCACTACAAAAAGTTCAAGTGGAGAGCACTGGTCTACAAACTTCACAATAACGCAGGCTGGGTAAGGAGGGCTGAATCTCAACATAGCAGGGGGTATGGAAACCGGGAGAGGTAGAATGTACTCAAGTTAGTATCTGTAATTAAAAAGCAAAAACCCAAAAAACTAAACAATAAGCCCCCAAATAAATAATTCTGAGAAATTTAAGTGATTTAAGGGATTCTGATGAATTTAAGTGGCTATTACCAGCATTTTTTTTTCAGGTCACAAGATGAGAATCCCTTTTCAGCATTGTTTCTTTCTGGGCTCAACAGCTCCAGGCACGCCAGAAGCAGTCAATCCCCTGAGTACTTGCCAAGGTTTCTACAACTAGTAGCCATATGCTGACAACAAGCTATTGTCTCCCTCTCATTTCCTAATCCATTCTGGCTCCCGGGCCCACCAATGCACTGGCTCCATGACTCCCTGATGTCTATGTGGCTGTCTTCCAATGAACACTTTGCAGCCTTTTGCCATAGCTGAGCAGTCCCTCCTGGAAACACTCTTTCAATTTTTGTGATACCACTTTTATGACAGGCTTGTGGTTTGCCTTTTTTTTTTTAACTGGCAATTACTTCTGAGTTTCCACTACCAGACCTTTAGTTTTAGGAGGTGCCCCAAAACTCTTCATAGGTGCTCTTTTCCTTTCATTCTTTCTTCCTACAATGTTTCATGTACTGTCTGTATACTTAACAAATTCCCAATTCTATTTCCAGTCTAGACTCTTCCTTTAAACTGACCATGACTGTCTCACAAGTACCTCAACCTCACTATGTCCAAAACCCAACTCATTATCTTCCCCCAATCCCCCTCCTCTGCATTGTTGCCCATTTCATTAATTGGTACCATCACCCACAAAGATGTTGATGTCAGACATCTGAAAGATGGTGATTTTTTTACTTCTTCAATTTCAATAGCTAGTCAATTACCAAGTCCTATTGATTCTACTTCCTGTATCTTTCATAAATCCATTTTTTCCATTTCCACTGTCACTACCGAGTCCAAAATACCATCTCTTTTAGAACTACTATTATAGCCTCCTATCTGGCCCCTCTCACACAATATTGACCGCTTCCCAAGGTGCCTTTTTATCTTCCCAGTATTCTTTTGAAGCATTCATTTAACTGTGTTATCCCATTATTCAAAAATAAAACACAATTGAAACTAAGGTCTAAACTCTTTCCTGTCACCTGAAGGCTTAAGTTAATCAAGCCCCCTCCTACCTCTCTGGTCTTAATTCACAACTTTCCCCACCTCTCCTAAATGTTTCATTCCTAACCTATATGTCTGCCTTTTTGTATCCTTTCAGTTGCCTGCTCTCAGAGACTGCACATACTGTTTTCTCTACTTGGAATGCACTTTCCTCTTCCTCTTTGACTAGCTCAGCAGCTCTCAAGTGTTTGACTAACTACATCAAAATTATCCAAGTGCTTTTCCTTTTTAAAATTGAATCCTGGACGCTACTTAAGAGCTCCTAGGTCAAATTTCCAGAAGTGGAAACTAGAGATACATCTTCTTAAAAGCTCCCCAAGATAACTCTGACATGCAACCAGGTGTGGAAATCACTGTTAGTCAACAATCAGGCCTCAGCTTCAAGCTCACTTTTTCAGGAAACACTACAGACTTAAAAAGCTGGTGGCACTACAAAGCTTCTCATGGCAACCTGTATTTTTCCTTCATAGCATATATCATGTTATTGAAGTTCTTGTGAAATCACTTAGTACCTACCGCCTCTCAAATAACGTAAGTTTTACAAATTAAGATTCTACCTAGAATGTTTGGTCATGAAAGCTTTTCAATAAGAGAGTTTTACATAAACAAAAAACTCTTACTCTAGCAGTTTACAGATTTTGGTAATATGAGCAAAAGTTGTAATTTTTACTTTCTAAAGGCTGTATCAAATAAATCACTTTTAAAGATTAGTGTGTTCAATATTTATAGCATGGAACATTTCAATTTAAGAGCTTTACTAGTGATATGTTGGGAAAGTCTCAAGTGCTCCAAGTAGGACTTTCCTAAGATAGGTCGTTCCCTTATAAAACCAAGGATCCCAAGTATCATAAGTTTGACTCACCTTCTGTAGTTTTTTAAAGGATGAAGCCTTCATGTTTTCTGACAACTTAACTGAAAAATACTATTATTTTCATTAAGGAACAAATGAGCAATTAAGATGAAAGATGATATCAAATGTTCTGAATTCATGTATAATTTCAAAAACAAGGTTAGAATGTATGGATATATATAGGAAAGATAAGAAATGAATTTCCAGGGGCTGGGCGTGGTGGCTCACACCTGCAAACCCAGCACTTCGGGGGGCCAAGGCGGATGGATCACTTGAGGCCAGGAGTTTGAGACCATCCTGGCCAACATGGTGAAACCCCACCTCCACCAAAAATACAAAAATCAGCCGGGCATGGTGGCGCTCACCTGTAATCTCAGCTACTTGAAAGGCTGAGGCACGAGAATTGCTCGAACCCAGGAGGCGGAGGTTGTAGTGAGATGAGATCGTGCCACTGCACTCCACCCTGGGCAACAGAGTGAGTCTCTGTCAAAAAAAAAAAAAAAAAGGAAAAAAGAAAGGAAGGAAGGGAGGAAGGGAGGGAGGGAAGAAGGCAGGGAAAGAGCAAGAGAGAGAAAGAAAGAGAGAGAGAAAGAGAGAGAAAGAAAGAAAGAGAGAAAGAGAAAAAGAGAGAGAGAGAAAGGAAGGAAGGAGTTTCCAGAGTAGTGGGGGCACCAAACAACTTCTAATTCTACATTTCCAGTGGCACCACTACATCCAAATCAGCCAACTTAATCCTGTAGTACTTATCCAAATGGCCATCATTAATAGAATTTTCCAAAAAAAAAGTCACCGTTCTAGGGTCTGTCATTTTAATATCTATGGATGAATACATTCTCCCCTTGATTCTCCTTCATGGTCCAATCTGTAGCAATCCTGTCTAATTTAATGAAGCAACAACTTTAATTTATACTTAACTGCCTCCTCAGAAAAATGCAAATAGCAACCTTTGAATATTATCAGGCCTTCCAATGAAAAAGGATACAAAATCTCTGAGTTGTCCAAATATTTCATCCACTTTTCCAATTTGTTCTTTGTTTTCTAAGTAAACAGGAGCATTGAAATAAGGCACCTTATTTTCATCTGTGGTACATTTACAAACTATGTCATCTTCACAGGGATGCAGGAACTCTCCTAATACTGAAACAGGACAAGAAAATGTTAAAACATAGAACTATTTCAAACGATACTGACCAACTGCTTCTGGAAGCTTTCTTTTTGGCTACCTGGGACTTCACCATAACTGCTCTCCTCTGAGGCAGAAGACCACAGTCTTAGGACTTCCTGGGCTGGTATACCAACTCCACAACACACTAGCTATTTGACCTAGGAGAAGTTACCCACCCTCTCTCTAATTCAGTGTCTCATTTTTAGTATGCACTAATAACATATAATGTATAGCTATACCTAATATACAGTAATGTAAGCACTCAATGGAATAACAAATGTCAAGTGCTTAGAACAGTGCCTGGCACACTGACACCATTCAACCTGTAACAGTTATGTTATTACAACTTATTATCTGATTCAAAACTCTGCTTCATTCTCTTGGTTCTCCCTTTTCTTCAATGCCTAACAGAATCAGCCTTCATTCTTTTTTTTTTTCTCTTGCCTTAGAACTTTTCCATTCCCACTACCACCTCTTTAACAATGATTCATTGTTTTCAAGGACATCTGGAATCTCAAAATAACTACCTTTATTTCTAACTAGACTGTCACCCCAAACTAAAATACCACATTCCTGCAAAACCAAGTCTTCATTCCTATCACCCAAGCTCAAAACCTGGAACCCTTTATTATCAGCATTAGCTAAGTTCTACCGATTTTGTTTCCTTTGAAATCTCTCTCCTATCTAACCCTTCCTTTTTTTTCCTCACTGTCACCATCCTGATTCAGGCTCTCAAGGTCTCATGTATGGACTGGTACAACAGCTTGTGGGCTGGGACCTTTTATTCTAGAAACTGCTCCTTTCAAACCATCCTGCATACTCATCCAAGCCATTCTTAGTTAGACACTACTCACCCTCTCTCCTCTTTAATGTAGTAAGTTTCACTTTCTGTGACTTCCATTCCCATCTCATTGTTAATTACTCTAAAACTACCCTAAATAGGTGTTTTTCTAGATTTCCTCTCTGGCAGTTTCCCTCTCAAGCAAATTGTTTTCTCACTTATCTACTTTTGAGTAGTAACAGAAAGCATGGGCTTTGGAGTCAGAATACTTGGCTTTGTATTTCTTTCTTTTCTGTACAGACAGGGTCTCCTGCTTTATTATCCAGGCTGGTCTCTAACTCCCGGCTTCAAAAGATCCTCCCGTCTTAGCTTCCCAAAGTGTTGGGATTACAGGCGTGAGCCACCGCACCCAGCCTGTATTTCAGCTATATCACTAATTGATCACTTATCACTAACCTTATGACCCCAGCAAAAAAACTTAACTCTAAATCATAGTTTTCTCATCTGTAAAATCGGGGAATTAGGCATAAGTACTCACGATTACCTATTTAATATCTTCCTGTCAACCCTCAAGTTCCACCTCCAAGATGCATTCTAAGTATCCCTCAGCTTTCTTGATCTCCCCACTCCACCCTTACATGCTACATTCTCCACACAGGCTTGTGTATCCCAAACTTGCTGCCTAACAACACAAACCCCCAACCCACACCTACTCCTTCAAATAAGCTAAATACTGAAGACTGCATACAGACTACACGTTCTGGAGGTCCTTGGTCTTGGCCTTTGTTAAAGCCTCCGCGGCCACCCCCTCGTCCAAATCCTCCCCTGCCGCCGCCTCTGAAATTGCCGCCGCCTCCACCGCCGCCTCCACCTCGGAAGTGGTTGCTGCTGCCACCTCGGTTGAAGCCGCCACCTCCACCACCTCGATTAAAGCCTCCACGACCTCCGCCTCGAAAAGACATTCTCTCTCCTCCCTGATGAAAAAAAAACGACCTATGTCTTCTGATCACTGTAGCCTCTGAGTATACTCCAACCCCTCGGAGCTGCGGTGAGAACACCATAAAGGAGACAAAAGCAGCCCTGTCACCTCACCCACGGTCAGACAGCCAGTGACCACCAACCTGATGGGTGAAGAGTTTACTTCTCCATGGTCTCGTGAGCGCCGACCGACCACACACCACCCTTGCCGCCCCATGATTAGTATCTCCTCCCCCTACAGACAGCAAGGTCTTCGCACCGCATCCCCTTCCTTCCTCCCTCCCTCCGGCAGTTGGGTTCCACGTCCAGCATTTTCAAATCCTCCGGCTTCTACGGCCACTCACCGGCGCCACGTGCCCCTCTGGCCCTGGCCTTGCGCACACACCCACCCGCGGGGTACTTCCGCCGCGCTGGAACCTCCTCGGTTACCGTACCGCCACAGAGTTTTTTAAAGACCAGAAACTTGAATAACTGGTTTGCCAAAAAAAAAAGCCAATCACCCGCGGAACAAGCAACACTGGTTCCAAAACAGCCTTTAGCGCTGGAAAAGTGGCAATAATAGATAACCTTAACCACTAATTTACAACAGAGAGGCCAACTTGCCTGACGCTGAGCCGTGGAAGTGACGTATAACAGCGGCGTCCTTTGCAGCACGACGTCCCGGAAGTGCTGCGGCAATGTTGCTCTTGGAGATAGCTGGCGTTAGGGATCCGCCTTCTCTCCCAGAGGCGGGGCAGGTTTCTGTTTGGTTGCCGCCCTAACGGCCAGAACTAAAGCACCTTGCAAGGAATGAAGTTGGTTCTTGAAGTCCGTGCTGACTGGCTGGGCGCATTTGCGCATTTGCTTCTCTGGCTGCAAAATGGCCCGCAACAGCACTCACTAATTTGTTGCTAACTTCAGGAACTGTGCGGACAGGTCTCTGAGGCTTCTGAGCCGCGCTATGTCCAGTAGATCTGGGCGCCTCAGAACCTGTCACAGCCGACGGAAGCGTTTATCTGAGTTTCTTGTTTCTTCCCAACCTTTTGATTTTCGCACCATTACGCGCTCAACTATGCCTCTTCTTTTGTCCTATGGTCTCAACTAATTAAAGGAAGAAAAGCAATGCATGTGTGTGTGTAATTTTAAAGAAACTATGCTGTCTTATAGAAAACCAAACCATCATTTTTATCTTTTGTACCAGGTATTCAAGTATGTTTTGAGCACCGACGGGCTGTGAACTGGACTGTGCTGAAAGCTCCTCTCCCTCTTCTCTCTTTAAGCCCTTTATATTTGACATCAGCTTCCCCCACATTCTCCAAAGCTTCTCTCACAAATAAAGGTAATGACTTCCCATTTATTAAATTTGGTTGGAGTCTTTTACACCCAAACCCTCTGAGACCTTACCTTGATATTTGATCTCGTGTTTAGAAGAGGGTGGAACTTGGTACCTATCTAATTCAGAGGGTTATTGTAAATGGGATTTTAAAATACCTTTGTAGGCGGGGCGTGGTGGCTCACGCCTGTAATCCCAGCACTTTGGGAGGCCAAGGCAGATGGATCACTTGAGATCAGGAGTTCGAGACCAGCCTGGCCAATACGGTGAAACCCCTTCTCTACTAAAAATACAAAAATCAGCCGGGCATGGTGGCACACGCCTGTAATCGCAGCTACTCGGGAGGCTGAGGCAGGAGAATCGCTTGAACCCGGGAGGCGGAGGTTGCCGTGAGCCGAGATCACGCCACTGCACTCCAGCCTGGACGACAGAGCAAGGCTTGGTCTCAAAACAAACAAAAAACAAAATAAGTGAGAGAGGAAACTTTACTTGTTCTTTTTCTTTTAGTTTAGTAAATGCTGCAATTTGATTTTAACGAATGTTGGTCTTTTTATGGGCCTATATAAGTGTATTATTTTTGAAACAAAAAATGAAAATTACCTATTTAGTATGAAACCTTTGCTTATCTTTTGCTGTGTATTTGCTCAATTCTGAATTGAACTTGAGATTGTCACACACAGATTGCATTTTCAACTGAAATGAGATGATTTTTGTCTTTACTCTTAAAACTTAGTGAGAAAAAGCTTGCTTGAACAAGAAGTTTTAAAGTATGTCAAAATGTTTATTACTTTCTTAAAAATGTCAAGCTGCTCTTCTTTCTCAGAAATCCAAAACTTGTAGAAGCACAGATCAGGCCAGGTGCTGTGGCTGACGCCTGTAATCCCAGCATTTTGGGAGGCTGAGGCAGGCAGATCACCTGTGGTCAGGAGTTCAAGACCAGCCTGGCCAACATGGTGAAACCCTGTCTCTACTAAAAATACAAAACTTAGCCGGGCGTGGTGGCGGGCGCCTGTAATCCTAGCTATTTGGGAGGCTGAGGCAGGAGAATCGCTTGAACCCGGGAGGCGGAGATTGCAGTGAGCCAAGATTGCGCCACTGCATTCCAGCCTGGGCAACAGAGCAAGACTCCGTCTCAAAAAAAAAAAAAAAAAAAAAAAGAAGGAGAAACACAAATAAGTACATTTCATCTTATATCTACAGTCATACATTCACAAAGTTCTTCCTCTTTTCTCAAAGCCAGGTGCTCAGGCTGAGAAGATTCAAGGAAAGGGTTCCTCACGTAGTTATACAGTTGTGTTCCAGGGGAAGGAAAATATTGTTCGGTTTTGTTCTGCAATTCCCCACGGTGGTTTTCGGTAAGACTTGAGACTTCCTTATTCTAAAGTCCAAGCAGCAGTGGAAACATTTCAAGATCCCTTTTTGCAATATAACTTTTCCAAAGATTCAATATTTATTTAAACCCAAAAATCTTGTCACTCGAAGTAAAACGATTTTCTCCAGGGCCTGAAGATCCTTGTTCAACTAGTTCATGTGATGAAAATGTCTGTTAAGTAGGTGATATGGTTTGGATGTTTGTTCCCTCCAAATCTCATGCTGAAATTTGATTCCCAGTGTCGTAGATGGGACCTCGTGGGAGGTGATTGGATCATGGGGGCAGAATTCTCATGAATGGCTTAGCACCATCCCCTTGGTGATAAGTGAGTTTTCACTCAGTTCACTTGAGATGTGGTTGTTTTAAGAGTCTGTGACCTCTTCTATTTCTCTCTTGCTCCCACTCTTGCCATGTGACATGCTGGCTCCCCATCACCTTCCGCCATGATTGTAAGCTTCTAGAGACCTCACCAGAAACTGATGCCAGCACCATGCTTCCTGTAAAGCCTCCAGAACCATAAGCCAATTAAACCTCTTTCTTTATAAATTACCTAGCCTTGGGCATTTCTTTACAGCAATGCAAAAAAAAACAAAAATGCTGGTTTCCACAGCCATTCTTTATCTTCAAAGAATTTGGTAAAATCTGGGCTACTGTTTTCTTGAATGTATTTCTGTGATTCACTTTCTAGGTCAAGCGTCCTGTTAAGGAGCAGAATCTGTATTACCTTCTCTCACTCCAATCCGTAGTGTCAATAAACATTATTTTGTGTAATTTCTGTAGGTCAGAAATTAAGGAGCAGCTTAGCTGGATGATTTTGACCCAGGGTCTCTCATAAGGTTGCAGTCAAGGTATCACCTGGGGCTGCAGTCCACTGAAGACTTGACTAGGGCTGGAGGATCCTTTTCTGAGGGAGCTCACTGACATGCCTAGCAAGCTGATGCTGCCTACTGCCAGCCCCAGTTCCTTGCCATACAGACCTCTTTACAGGGTGCTTGAGTACTGACATGACATGCCAGCTGGATTCCCCCAAAATGATCTGCTAAGCCATAAGATTTACGCATGTGGAAGGAGATTTATATGGGCCTTGTCCAGGTTTTCACATAGTTTAAAAAAAAAAATTTTTAGAAGTGAATTGCATTATGTTTGATAAGTCATCTTCATAGCATCATCTAGAACTTTTTTCATTTCTGCTCCAAAACTTTCTGACATCAGCACTCTCTGGGAAGAAAGCAATGAGTTGTGAATATGTCAGGATTTTAATGAGAATTGAAATCTCTGAGGGAACCAATCGTTGATAGGGTACCATAAATAGATACTGACACAGTTCTTCCAAGAGGTACCTTCTTTTTCCAATATGAAGACAGTAAATATATCTTTACCTTTGCTTCTTTGCAGCAGTGTTTAATAGAAGAAAAATTTTCTTGAATTTTGCCGTAATTTATAAATCTTGCAAATGCTACTTTATGACATTTGTTGTTGAAATCTGATGATTCATCAACCTGGATGAGAAGTTGTTAGGTTCTTTTGATGCTATGCAGCATTATGTGACATGTCATCAATCACATCAATTTATCAAACTTTGAAAGTGAAACCGTTTTAGTTTCTCATTACATCATATGCTGGCGTCTGACTCTCTGTAATTATACATGCTGAAATTGTGAGGTCCCATCAATTGTGGGGCTCTTTCCTTTTCTAGTCAAAAGGTTCTTCTGCTAAATAACTTGCTTTCTGGGCCTTTTTACTGAAGGTGACTTAAAAAAATAAATACATTCTTTACTCTGGGTTTCCAAAGGCCATATAAAATTATCTGCTCCTTTACTATGGTTTGCAGTTAAGTGTCTTTTCAATTTTGCTGGAGCCATTGCTTCATTTATAAGTTGTGATTCTTCATTACTAACTTTATCAGAATTATTAAGACTTAGAATTCTCTTCCATCTCCCAGTTCATCTTCAAAAATCACCACATTGGACTATAAGTCATGTTTGTAAAACACAGATGCTAATCAAGTATAAAACAAGCAAACTAAACAAGGAAATTTTTTTAAAAAATGATATCTTCAAATGCAATTCACTTTTAACCTGCAAGCTCCATGTGTCAGGCCTCTGAGCCCAAGCCTGCGTGTATACATCCAGATGGCCTGAGTCAACTGAAAACTACAAAGGAAGAGAAACAGCCTGCTCCTGTCTTAACTGATTGACCAACCTTAAGACATTCCATTATGACCTGTTCCTTCCCTGCCCAACTGATTGATTGATCGACCTCGTGACATTCTTCTTCTGGACCATGGGTCTTATGATCTCCCCACCATGCACCTTGTGACCCCCTCCTCTGCTGACAATAGATAGCCACCTTTAACTGTAACTTTCCACTGCTTATCCCAGTCCTATAAAACTGCCCCACCCCACCTCCCTTTGCCGACTCTTTTCAGACTCAGCCCACTTGCTCCCACATGAAATAAACAGCCTTGTTGCTCACACAAAGCCTGTTGGTGGACTCTTCACATGAACACGGACGAGCGTGACACCGTGTTTTACAACGTTTACAACATTAGCAAAGCAACAGGGAGGCATTTGAGTTATGGGGCATTAAAATTGCTTCCTTAAAATGTTGTCTTTGATTGTCTATTACATCAGGAGAGCTCGTTACCTGTCAGTTGACTGAATAAAGGGAGGCCAGGGGAGATTAGGAAATGTAAATCAGGAAGGAGAGGCTGATGTCATCAACCTATTGTCTCTCCCTCTCCCTCAACCTGTTGTCCCTCCTTAATTCAGCACCCACCAATCATCAACAGCACCCCCTGTTTGCATCAAAAGCTGAGAATGGACTCAATGAAATGAACATAGTTGTGTGGAGCACTGTCATGTTTGTGAATGACCTCTAGCGAAATTCCTAACAGAGTTGTTTGATCACTAGTCATTTACTACAAGTGTTGGCATTACATGGAGAAAGAAGTTCAAAAGAATGCCAAAAAAAAAAAAAAATTCCAATCTCTTCTGGAATCCCTAGTAACCGCTCCTAGACCCCTAATGACATCTGCAGAAACTCACGCTAGAGTATAAGCTCCTGAAGAATGACAACTACATCTTCTTTGTTTTGGTACCCTCAGCACTTAGTACAGTGCCTGGAATAAAATTGATGCTGATGCCCAATAAATATTTGTTAAATGGAACTGAATTCCTCTGTGCTTTGAATTTCTGCTCATGCCTTGAGAACCTACTTATCAACAAATGATCATAGAATGATGGTCAAAGAGACAAAGAAAATATGAAAGAGATGGGGGTAGAGAAAGTATATTAAGCACAGTCTAGTTGTGGTATTCAAGATCTAAGAAGGTGTCCATCCAGTTGTTTCACTGGAAGGTTAGGACATCTAATTAAAATACCAGTAAGGAGATACAGATGTTCCTCAACTTAACGATGGGGTTATATCCCAATAAACCCATCATGAGTTGAAAATATCTGAGTGGAAAATACATTTCATATATGTAACATACTGAACATCATAGCATGGCCTAGCCTACCTTGAAGGTGCTTAGAACACTTACATTAGCCTACAGTTGGGCAAAACCATCTGGCAGCACAGCACACTGGAGAGTCTCATTTGCTGCTGCTGTCCAGCATCATAAGAGAATATTGCACGCATATCACTAGCCAGGGAGAAGATCAAAGTTTAAAATTTGAAATACAGGTTTTGCTGAATGCTTATTGCTTTCACACCATTGTAAAGTAGAAAAATTATTCAGTGTAACCATTGTAAGTTGGGAGACTGTATTGCTAATGACAGAGAAGAGGGCTGGTAGCTAGGAATAGGGCTGAAATTTTTTATATTAGAACAAAATTTTAAAAGTACTTAGCTGAAGCTAGGCATGGTGGCTCACGCCTGTAATCCCAGCACTTTGGGAGACTGATGGGGGGCAGATCACCTTAGGTAAGGAGTTGGAGACTAGCCTGACCAACATGGTGAAACCCTTTCTCTACTAAAAATACCAAAATTAGCCGGGCTTGGTGGCGTGGGCCTGTAATCCCAGCTACTCGGGAGGCCAAGGCAGGAGAATCACTTGAACCCGGGAGGCTGAGGTTGCAGTGAGCCAAGATCGTGCCACTGCACTCCAGCAACACAGCAAGACTCCACCTAAAAAAAAAAAAGGCTGGGCACTGTGGCTCACACCTATAATCCCAGCACTTTGGGAGGCCAAGGTGGGTGGATCACGAGGTCAAGAGATCAAGACCATCCTCGCCAACATGGTGAAACCTCGTCTCTACTAAAAATACAAAAATTAGCTGGCCATGGTGGCACACATCTGTAGTCCCAGCTACTCGGGAGGCTGAGGCAGGAGAATAGCTTGGACCTGGGAGGCGGAGGTTACAGTGAACCAAAATGATGCTACTGCACTCTGGCCTAGTGACAGAGTGAGACTCCATCTCAAAAAAAAAAAAAAAGAAGTACTTAGCCAAGGTGCCATTAATTGTAAATATTAATGTGAACTCATGACTTTCTCTTTTATTTGGTTTTTATTATGAAAATTTCAAACGTAAACAAGAGTTGAAAGAGCAATATAATGAACTTCTCTGTACAACACCTTCAGCCTTTTGCAAATGTTATTCCTCCTATTTCCTCACTGTTATTATTAAAATTATTATTGCTAGAGTGTTTTATAGTAAACATTCTGTTCATAAATCTCCAGCAGAGGACTTTTTTAAAAAACATAAGCACAGTACCATTACCACACCTAACAAAAATTTTCTTAGTATTAGCGAATGTCCATGTGGAATTTTTCCAAGTTATTTCAAAATGTAATTTAATAATTGGATCAATCAAATGAAGATCCAAACAAGGGCCATACATTGTATTTTATTGATATGTCTCTTAATTTTCTTTTATTCTGTGTCAATTTCCTCTCCCTGTTTTTTTTCCCGCCCTGCCCCGCCATGGCATTTATTTGTTGAAAATACTGAGTCTTTTTGTCATGTAGAATTTTCTACTTTCTCACTGATTACATCCTTGTGGTGGTATAAATTGTTTTTCTATCCTCTGTATTTCCCATAAACTGGTAGTTAATTGATAGTGAGATCTAGAGACTTGATTGTTTTCAGGTTCTTTTCTTTTCTTTTCTTTTCTTTTCTTTTTTTCCTCCTTCAAGAATACTTCCTACCGTCCCATGAAGAGACACATAATATTTCTTATCCTTGTGGTGGTATAAATTGTTTTTCTATCCTCTGTATTTCCCATAAACTGATAGTTAATTGATAGTGAGATCTAGAGACTTGATTGTGTTCAGGTTCTTTTTTTTTTCGACCTGCAAGAATACTTCCTACCATCCCAGGAAGAGGCACATAAAGTCTGGTTGTCCCTCTTTGGAGATGAGATCAGTCAGTAGGATCAGTGTTATCAGCCTCATCAATCTCTTAGAGTTCCCTGCCAGCTTTTCATCTAACGGTTTTAGCAGCTGTTGGTGATCATCACTAGATCCATTGGCTCATAAGGTAGTGCAAAATAGTAATATGATAATTCTATCATTTATTTTGCAATTATTAACTGAAATAAAGAAATTTCCTTTTTTATTTCAATTTTTTGCTATCATTGTTCCTTATAATGCTTAAAATATTTCATCTTTGAGAGCCCCTTCAAGTATTTTAATACCACCAACTAGCCTCCAATGGCTTCCTTGCTTTCTGGTACAAAATATTTCTTTCACATTTTATGCCCCAGATGTGGAATCGCCCTTTCTCCAAAGAGCCTTAGTTTTTTAAATGGAAAATGGTAAGTAGAGAAGACAATCTGCCACTAAGGAGTGCTCATTGCTTCTGGATTGTTAGGACTTCTAGGCCCTATCAGTGGACACAGTGGACAACTAGAAGGTAATTATTTTTAGAAAGAAAAAAAACTGAGGGTCATAGCGGTATTTCCAATTCAAAGTTAAGACTACAGGGTTTCCATTTCTTTGAATTTAAACTTGTGTTTGTCTTACCCTGAAATTCTTATGACATTAGCATAATTATTTATTTGCCTTAGCCTCCATATATATATATATATATATATATATATATATATATATATATATGCTGTCAAGTAAGTATTATTATTAATGGTAAGATTACTGAATACTACTCAAGATTTTGTATCAGTTTGCTAATATTTTGTTTAGAGTTTATGCATCTATATTCATGAGTGAGGTTGGTCTTTTTATTGTGCTGTACCTCTGCTTTTGTAGATTCTGATTATAGAGCTCTGCCTTCAATGACTGCAGGAGAAGGGTGGGATATGAGGCCTCAAGGGTTTGCCTATGGCTTGCCTCTTAAGTTCAGAGACTCCCTTAACTTCATGGAGGCTGGTGTCATCTAGAATGCTTCTCTGCTTCTGCCTCAGTGTCCACTCAAGGGGTTCTGGGTTAGAACATGTGCTATAGAGAGCCTTACTGTAGGCTTTAGCCTGGAGTAAATGCTCAAGTTACCCCCGAGTGGGGCACTGGCTCAAATGTTCTTCCCTTTATTTATTAATTACTTAGTCTATCACTTATCTCAGATTCTACTGTTTCTATTTATTCTATGGTCTTTCTTATTTTGGATATCTCGTTGTCACCTATATGAATTTGACACTTCTTAAACTCCTTTAAGTTTTGCAGTTAATCTTTTCCTGTCTATTATATGTATTCTAGTAATTCCTCACTGTTTATGTCCTATTAATGAATCCTTCTTCATTTTTCAATGGTGCAATGGAATTACTTTTATTTTTATATTTATTTTCATTGAGATCATAGGAGGAAAGAGACTTAAACTGAATAAAATTTCAGTCCTCATGAGCACTTTACATTTTCTTTTTGTTAACTACTGTATTGGTCCATTCTTGCACTGCTATAAAGAAATACCTGAGACTGGATAATTTATAAAGAAAAGAGGTTTAATTGGTTCGTGGTTCCACAGGCTGTACAGAAAGCATGATGCTGGCATCTGCTCCGGTTCTGGGGAGGCCTCAGGAAACTTACAATCATGGCAGAAAGCAAACGGAAAGCACGTGCATTACATGGCTGGAGTAGGAGCAAGAGAGAGGGGGCATTTTAATCAGAAAGGATCAGAAACAGTTCTCATTCACATGGAATGGGCAACATATACACTTAAAGTTTTCCCAGGCCTTATCTGCCACCTTCTGATATAATATAATATGCAGAGATCTGGAGCATCTGGATTTCCCATAAGACACCATTGTTTTTCCATTGATAGCATTATCTTGATCAGAGGAGATGAGGAAGTAGCATGCTAAATACTTTGGTAAGACAGATGTGCTCCAGAGGGTAGGAAATAAAGCCTGGCACATCGGTAAAATTTTTAGGAAACCAGTGTTCAGGAACGTGCTAGCACATCCTCTTTAATGTAAAAGACAAATTATTGTATCTTGTACTTTCTTTAACAAAGAAGGAAGCACAAAATCTGATGAGGCTTTTTGGACTCTGGGAGCAAATATTCTGCAGTAGGGAATACTGCTCCAGCTGCCAAAGCAGAAATGGCTTCTGCAGTGGTCCAGCAGACTCTATGGCATCAGAAGTCTCAGTGATGGGGGAAAAAATGCTGTGTGGTGTTTGAGGAAGATCCTGTGGGAGAACCACAATATAGGACCTCAGGGTTCTGGAGCAAGGCCATGCCATCTGCAGCAGAGAATTGTGTGTCTTTTAAAGACCAATTTGTATATTACTGGTTCCTGGTAAATGTAGAATAATGAATCACAGGACACTACATCACCATACGGCCAGAACTGCCCATTATGATCTGGATCCAAATGGACCCGCAAAGTATAAGGACAAGCAGGCCTAGGAAAAATGTATTGTAAGATAGAAGTGTGACATCCAGAGCCAAACACAAACAGGACCAGAGGTATGAGCAATGTGCATAAACAGGTAGCAGGTAGCCCAGACTGCCCCTGTCCCCAGCATCCAAACAGTTGCACTCATGGCCCTTCCTTAGCTCACACCTATAGCTCCCTGGGGAATTTGGTATGACCAGCTGAAGGAGGAGAGAAAAGGTCACATTTTGTTTACAGATGGGTTGGCTTGGTATATAGGCAAGTTAAAAATAGACAGAGGCAGCTTTACAGCCACACTTTGGAGTGGTTTTGAAAGACAGTGGTGAGAGAAAGTCCTCCCAAAGGGCAGAGCTGCAGGGGGTACACCTGGTCATCCACTTCGTGTGGAAAGAGAGGTGGCCTGAGGCTAGACTTATATAGAATCACAGGCAATAGTGATTTCCTGATCATCTTTTGTTCCTGAAATGAAAAATATTCAAAGATCAAGAGCAAAAAGTTCTGGGAGGCAAACAGCAACTTTAGCCTGAGAAGTGAATGGTAACCAAGGGTTCAGACCACTCCTGAAAGAGACCGTGGGTCATGTCATCAGGTACGTCACTGAGATCAGCAGAGGTGGGAGGTCGGAGTGAAGAGAATCTAGAATGGATATGTGTACATACAGGACTGGGCATGAAGTATACAAATCTTTGTATCATGGCCAGGCACGGTGGCTCACGCCTGTAATCCCAGCACTTTGGGAGGCCGAGGCAGGTAGATCACAAGGTCAGGAGATCAAGACCATCCTGGCTAACACAGTGAAACCTCATCTCTACTAAAAATACAAAACATTAGCCGGGCGTCATGGCGGGCGCCTGTAGTCCCAGCTACTCAGGAGGCTGAGGCAGGAGAATGGCATGAACCCGGGAGTCGGAGCTTGCAGTGAGCCGAGATCACGCCACTGCACTCTAACCTGGGTGACAGAGCGAGACACTGTCTCAGAAAAAAAAAAAAAAAAGAGAGAGAGAAAAAAGAAAAAGGAAAAAAAATCTTTGTATCACATGTTAATGCCTACTAGAAAGCATCCACCAAAGAAAAGGCACTAAATAACCAACAAAATGGCTCAACCAGTTTGGCTCAACAAAACGATTGAGCCAAAATGACTGAGTCTCAGTCATCAGCCACCCCACTGCTGGCACGATGGGCACAAGAATGAAGTGACCGTGGTAACAGAGATAGAGGCCACCCATGAGGCCAATAGCACAGACCCCGAGGCTTATCTAGCTCCCATCATTAACAAATGCCCAACCTGACAGCAGCTGACACTAATACTGTCCCCACAAGATGGCACAATTCCTCAAGGAGACCAACTAGTCACTTAGTGGCAAATTAATTACATCTGATTCTTTCACTCTTTGGAGGGTCAGTGGTCTATTCTTACAGGAATAGACATATTTGAGGTATGAGTGTGCCTTTCTTGCCTGCAGGGCCTCCATTAGCACCATAATCCAGAGAATTATAGAGTGCTTAATTATCTAGCAAAGATCACATCCTGCCAGACAAGGGTGCCCACTTTACAGCAAAGCAGGCCCAGGAGTGGGCCTGTGATCATGCAATCCCCTGGTCATATCACATACCACACCACTCAGAAGCTGGTGGACTTACAGAATGTTATAATGGGCTGCTGAGGACAGAGCTGAGGTGCCAGTTAAATGCAAAACTTTGTGAGAATGGGGTGCTATCCTCCAGGAAGCAGTATATACATTCAATCAAAGACTTTCATATAGCATTATGTTCCCAATAGGAAGAATACCTGGGTCTGGGAACCAAGGAATAAAGGCAAGAATTACCACACTTACCATCACCACCATTGACCAACTGGGGGCTTTGTGCATCTTGTCTCCACAGTTGTAGACTCTGCAGGGTTCGTTATCTTGGTCTCCAAAGGACTATACTTTCACCAGGGGCAAGCAAGAGTCCCATGGAATTATAAACCAGAGCTGTTGCCTGGGGTACGCTGGGCTCTTTGTGTCTAGGAACTAGCAAGAAAGAGTCAGAATCCACAAGGGTAATTGGCCCTGATCATTCCGAGGAAGTAGGGCTGCTATTACTATAATGTGGGCAGGGAGGAAGATGTGTAGAACCCACATAACCTACTGGGGTACCTCTTATTTTTTGCTTTTTTTGGTTTCTTTTTTAAGAGAGGGTCTCTCTTTGTCACTTAGGCTAGAGTGCAGTGGTGCAATCATGGCTAACTGCAGCCTCAACCTCTCCCTGTGTTGCCCAGGCTCATCTCAAACTCCTGGCCTCAAGCAATCCTCCTGCCTTGACCTCCCAAAGTGCTGGGATTACAGGAGTGAGCCACCATGTCCAGCCTGCCTCTTGTGACAGTAGGGATAAAAATGGCAACTTTTGCCTGAGAAACAAAAGGTAACCAGGGGCTCAGACCACTCCTGAAAGAGAGTGTGGGACATGTCATCCAGTAAGTCACCGAGACCAGCAGAGGTGGGAGGTCAAGGTAAAGGGAATCTAAAATGGATAGGAAGGGGGCCAAGGGTAAGTTTCAACTACAGCCCCAAGATCAACTGCAAGGGTAGGAGCTGTAGTTTTTCCCATTAACTTCCTCTTCTAAGTTTTCTCTCAAGAATAGGGACCCACTGAAATGTTTAAGGAGCCACTCCTGGAGTGTATATGGAACATAGATCTAAGAGGTGCAAGTATGTACTCTGAAAGACACAGAGATGAGTTTCCCAGAACCCTTGTCAAGGAAGGTCTTGCTACCTGGCTGTAAAGAGTGTAGTCAGAAGATACCTCCTCCTGATAGCACATAACTGTCAGATCCTTCTGTGTCTGCCTTAGCTACAGAAAACTGTCTCACCTAAGTGTATGCCCTTCCTGGGCAATATATAGTAGGGGACCAAGCAAGGCAGAATATAATGGCCCAGCCATTTATACTGAAATCAGGGGCACTGTGACAGGTCACACTCACTCCAGTTCAACTTCTACCTCTGTTCACCCCTGCTTCCCCTCCCTTCCTTGTATGGATATCGATCCCTAACAAACACTTGTGCCCCACACTCACTGTCTCAAGTCTGCTTCTGATGAACCCAACTGTGTCAGCATTTCTGCTATCACAGATTTATTTCATAAATAGATAAACCCTGCATGATAGTTGGTACTGGCACAAGAATACTTGTTTTTAAAATTTCTTGTACTCCAAAAATACAATTTGATCACAGCACAACAAATGCATGGTAAAGAAGCTGGTTTCTAGAGTTTTAAATGTATTTTGCAGCCTTCACTATATGGTCTACTTTTATTCTTACTGTCTCCTAGTCTTCAACCTTAAGTTTAAAAAATTATATTTTTACTGTACAAAAAAAAAACCAAAAAATTGCTTCCAATATAATTTCTGTCTTCCCTGGAATACAGAATTGAGTCATTGCAATTAACAGGGTGGGAGGAAATCAGTCTCTTCTGGTGGAAACAAGTTCCTATTGGTCACCTCCCTCAGCTCTTTAATGGGAAGGCCATTTTTTGGTTTCAGTTACGGTAAATCTCTCTGGATTTCAGCCAAATTCTTTCAGAGTTCAAAAGTACAAAGCTCTTTAGGAGGTTTGTTCTTTTGAAACATTTTTTCAGAGGTTAAAAATTAAATTTCAAAAGAATACCTGGAGTGGAAAAGAGTTCTCAGCAGAGACAAAGACCCCGAACACCTCCAACATGAAGCTTCTTCATGTTTTCCTGTTATTTCTGTGCTTCCACTTAAGGTTTTGCAAGGTAAGTAATTCAACCTTTATGCAAACAATTTTAATTGATAATTTAAAGGTTGTAAAAACATAGAAAATAATCTTAAATATATAATTTTGATTTAAATATTACATAGTTCAGTTACAACAATGCCACTCTATAGTCAGCAACAAATGTTTTATGTTAATATCTTGATAAAAGTGATTTTTTAAAAATAGTTCTTTTTATGTGCTTATATATGCAGAGGCATTGAACTGAACAAGAATTTTACTAATACAAGGCTGTGATTTACTGTAATTGTAGTAAATCAAAAATATTTACCAGGCTCCTCCTGTGTGTAAGGTACAGTGCTACGAAGACAGTGAGACTGATCTCTTCCTTCAACAGCCTCTTAGTACGCTCTATAGTTATAGAAAGGGGAAATAATAAGCAAATTTGAAACATCTGAAAACACAAAAGTGCAAGTTACAAGACAGTATATATTTAATTGTCAAAAGTGATACAAATATGTGGTAAAGGACTTCAATGAGAGGACAAATCACTTCATGCTGAGAGGTCATGAAGAGATTATAGATCAAGTAGGATTTGAGCTGAACGTTTAATTCTGTATTACATGTGATCAGTGGTGAGAAAGAGGAGTGATTTCCAGCTTCTTTAGCCAGGAAAAGCAGCAAGTGCTACCATAGGAAGGCAGCAATGCACTAGGCCCCTCCAAATAAATGAATCCATTTGATCAGAATGAAGGCTTTGTGGGCTACAAAGGAACTCGAAACTGAAATGACATATTTTATTGAAGTTAGAGTGTCATCTATTAAGGTGAAAAATGTTTAAAATATTTTGGATACTTATTGATGATTGCCAACTTTGGTGGCAATCCAAAACTATCTTGTCTTAGTGCCAGCTTGTAGAAGAAAATATTTAAAGAAAACTACTTAAGAAAACACACTTTAAGATTCTTGTAACTTCTAAAATAGTTGCCATCATTGCAATGTTTATAATAGAGAATAAATGGAAATAACTAAATGCTTATTAATAAGACACTGGTTAAATTATTGTATATCCAAAATTGAACTATTACATAGCCATTGAAATGACATATTTATCTAAATAAAAAGTCCTTACTACAATTTTATTTTTATTGAAGAAAAACACACACACACATATGTATGTGTGTTTATATGCATATATATAAATGCATACTTATACCTACTTATATATATGACTAAAAGATCTTACAGTGTATGTATCAAACAGTTAATAGTTGCTATCATTGGCTAATAAGATTACTGGTGATTCTATTTTCTGTTTTCGGTTTTACTGAACCTACTCAGACAAGGAAACTAGGGGATTCAGAAAAGATGGAAAAGAAACCCATAGCACAGTGGGAGTGGCTGCTGGGGCCTTCTAATGGGGGGAATAACCAGAGGATGTTCAACAACAAGGAAGCTGACTAGGTGTGGGGGTTCACGCATGTAATCCCAGTACTTTGGGAGGCTGAGGCAAGAGGATTGCTTGAGCCCAGGAGTTTGAGGCTGCGGGGAGCTCTGATCATGCCACTGTATTCCAGCCTGGGTGACACAGCAAGATCCTGTCTCAAAAAAAAAAAAAAAAAAAAAAAAAAAACAGAGAAGCCAAATATTTCAGTCAACATGATTACCTACCATAATTGTGCTGTGACGTAATCACCAACTGATACCCTAAATTTTATTTTACCCTAAAATTTTATTACAAACTCAGGCACATATGGGTGGCATTTTAGAGAGAAAGAACTGGGGTAATGTTAAGCAGAATGACAACATCCTGGAAACAAGGGTGGCACACAGGAGGGTGTGCAGTGCAAGTGATGGCAGCGGAAATGGCAGAGTAGGCAGATCCACCAAAACCAAAAACCAAAAATCCATTTCTACAGAAACCAAAGGGAAGCTGTCAGAACCAACTTTATTTAGAACTCTGGAAAACAGTCAAAGGTTTATAGCACCTAAGAAAATGTTGAATGCAGGAACAGGCAACTAAAAATGGTATGAAAGCTTAGTAGCATTTTGCGTGTCTGTCCTTTGTGTCCTTGCCCCATACCCTCCCTAATTTGGCAGTGGTCTTGAAGGATATCTGAGTACATAAAATAGCCTTAACACAATAACAACAAATTTTGGTTTATTAAAACAAGTTCACACATTGTCATTAAAAAGACATTTTGAAATTCACTGTATTCTCATTACCTTAGTTTGCAAATGTTAAAGCAATTTTCTTCTAAAAATACAAACTGTTTCTCTTACTATGCAGAATATTATCCTAATCACTTACCACACTTCTATCACCCTATCACTTATAATACTGTTGTAAACCAACCACTAAGTGGCCTTTCCACTTACAATTTCTTCATGTATCTTAGATTTCAGTTTCTTAATCTTCCATGGGAAAGTATATAAATCTGTCTATCTAATATGGAAGAAATTCTCCTAACTCTGGTGCAGCAAACACTGACCATGTACGTTTCTCACTCAGGGAGGGACCCGGTTCCCTAGCACTGGAAAGAACAGAGAAGACCTTATTCAAAAATAATGTGTTTGTCTTTTCTATCCTAAGGCCTTCCTGTAGGACAGACCCCAGGCACTTGTCTTGGTTTCACCTAGCTCAGAACTCAGAGCAGAAAAGCATTAATATTACAAAGCACAGGCATTGCAAGATTAATGAGCAATCTCAGCTGTCTGGGGCAAAGGATTACAGTGGAGGCACACAACAGAGCACCAAAGCATGGGGAAAAACTAAGATCCTATGGAAAATTAGGGCATTCAAAAGTGCCTGTGTGTATTGGGGAGTTTAGGAAGCCCCATACATGCTCAGGGCAGGATACATGCTCAGAAAGACCTCAGAAGACTCTGAGCCTGCACCTCTGGTGGTTGTCTAAGTTCAGTGCAAGTATGAAGTGAAGGCTAAGGTAGAGTTGCAAATGGCCTGGATGAGTGAGTGCCCAGGACAGAACCAATCTGCAAAGACTGGGAGAGATTTTGAGATTTTGATTTGTTTTTCTGGGTTTCTTTTTCTTCTCTCTCTCTCTCTCCCTCCTCTTGCATTGAAGGAAATCTCTGTCTAAATACTAGCTGAATATAAGTCAAAGGAACAGACTTCAAAGACCACATGTGATAAAGAATAGACTTGCCAAAAGTAGTTTAGAAAAGTCATCAAACAAACACCAAGCAACCAAAGCAAACCCCAAGCAACCAAAACAAACCCCAAGCAGAAGGAAGAGTCTGATTTCAAGAGTTACTGTAAGAGTCAAAGTGTCAACCAAAAATTTTCAACCAAAAATTATGATGCATGCAAAGATATGAGAAAGTATGGACCATTTACAGAAGAAATGAACATAATCTGTTCCAGAAGAACCACAAACTTTGGACTCACTAAACAAAGACTTAATGGTCTTTTTAAAAAAAAAAAACACTTTATTGAGTTATGATTGACATATAATAAACTCTACATATTTAGTGTACATAACTTGATGAGTTTGAGTTTGGAGATTAGTATATGTCTGTGAAAATATCACAACATATGCCATAAACGTATTCACCACTTCTAAAAGTTTCCTCTCACTCTCTTTATTTATTATTTTGTGTGTGCATGTAACAACTCTTAACAAAGAAATTGTGCTCTTAGCAAATTTTTAAGTATACAATACAGTATTATGAACAATAGGCACTATTCTGTAGCATAGATCTCTAAGAATTATACATCTTGACCTTTGACTAACACTTCCCTGTTTCCCCCTCACCCAGTCCTTGGCAACCACCATCCCACTCTCTGGTTCCATGAGTTTGACTATCTTAGATTCCTAATATAAGTTGTATTATGTGGTATTTATCCTCCTGTCCCTGCCTTGTTTCACTTAGATTAATGTCCTCTAGGTTCATCCATATTGTCACAAATGGCAGGATTTCCTTCTTTTTTAAGGCCAAATAATATTTCATTGCATGTATATACCACATTTTCTTTATCAATTCTTCCACAACTGTAGAAGAATTTCCCTTTCTGCATATCCTCAGCTACATTTGTTACCTTTGGTTATTTTGACAATAACCATCCTAACTGGTGTGTGATTTTGATTTAAATTTCCCTAATGGTTAGTGATATTAAACACCTTTTCAAGTACCTATTGACCATTTACATATCTTATTTGAAGAAATGTCTATTCAGCTCCTTTGTCCACTTTTTAAAGTAGACTATTTGGTTCTTGGCTTTTGATTTGTAGGAATTCCCTATGTATTTTAGATAGATATTAACTTCTTACCAGATGTATAGTTTGCAAATATTTCTTCCATTGTATATGTTGTCTTTTCATTTTGCTGTGCAGAAGGTTTTTAGCTTGAGGTAGTCCCACTTGTCTGTTTTTGCTTTTGTTGCCTGTGCTTTTGTCGTCATAGTCAAGATATTATTGCCAAGACTAATGTCAAGAAGCTTATCACTTATGTTTTATTCTAAAAGTTTTATGATTTCAGGTGTATGTGTAAGTCTTTAATCCATTTTGAGTTGATTTGTGTGTATGGGGTAATATAGGGGTCCAATTTCAGTTTTTGCATGTGGATTTCCAGTTTTCCCATTACCACTTATTAAAAAGACTATTCTTCACCCATTATATATTCTTGGCTCCCTTGTTGAAGAGCAGTTGACTATCTATGCATGGTTTTATCTCTGAACTTTCTACTTTGTTCCATGAATCTATATGTCTGTTTTTATGAGAGTACCATATTGTTTTGATTACTGCAGCTTTGTGATATTTTTTGAAATCAGGAAGTGGGATGCCTCTGGCTTTGTTCTTCTTGCTCAAAAAATTGTTTTGGCTATTTTGTGTCTTTTGAAATTCCATGTAAATTTTAGAATTATATTTTCTATTTCTGTAAAAAAATGCCTTTGCAATTTTGGTAGGGATTGTATCAAATCTGTAGATTATTTGTAATAGTATAAACATTTAACAATATTAATTCTTTCAGTGAAGGAATGTGAGTTGTCTTGCCATTTCTTTGTGCCTACTTTAATTTCTTTCATCAGTGTTTTACAGTCTTCAGGGTATGAGTTTTTCACCTTGTTGGTTAAATTTATTTCTAAGTGCTTTATTCTTTTAACTGCTATTGTAAATGAGATTGTTTTGTTTTGTTAAAGACAGGGTTTTGCACTGTTGCCCAGGTGGGAATGCAATGGCAAATTATAGCCCACTGCAGTCTTCGCCTCCTGTGCTCAAGCTACCCTCCTACCCCAGCCTCTCAAGTAACCATGACCAAAGGTGTGCACTACCATGCCAACTAATTTTATTTTTTGTAGTGATGGGACCTTGCTATGTTGCCCAGACTAGTCTCAAACTCCTGGCCTCAAAGGATCCTCCCACCATGGCCTCTCAAAGCACTGGGAAATAGGCATGAACTGCTGCACCTGGCCTGAGATGGTTTTCTTAAAATTCTTTCTAGGACAGTTCATTATTGATGTATAGAAACACCACTGATTTTTGTATGTTGTTTTTGTATCCTGCAGCTTTAGTGTTGCTGTTTATCATCTTTTCATTTCAACTTGAATAAAACCTTTTATCATTTCTTGTAAGGCAGGTGATGTATTTCCTGTTTTGATTTATTAGGGAAAGTCTTTATCTCTCTTTCATTTTTAGAGGATAGTTTTTCTGGGTGTAATATTCTTGGTTGGCAGTGGTTTTGGGGTTTTTTGTTTCTTCGTTATGACACTTTGAATATATTATCCCACTCTTTCCTGGCCTGCAGTGTTTCTGAAGAAGAAGAAATTTGAAGAATAAATCCACTGATAGTTTTATAGGGTTTTCTTTGTATATGACAAGTTGCTTTTCTCGTTCTTTCAAAATTGTCTTTTTGTCTTTGACATTTGAGAATTTGATTATAATGTGTCTCAGTCTAGACCTTTTTAGGTTAGATATCTTTGTGATCCTTTTGGTCCTCATGAATCCAGATGTCCATTTCCTTCCCTAGATTTGAGATGTTTTCAGGCATTGTTAATTTAAATAAGCTTTCTTTCCTTTTCCCTTTCTCTTCTCCTTCTGTAAATAACATAATGCATTCATTCGTTGGCTTGAGGGTATCCCACAAGTCCTGTAGTCTTTATACTTTTTCATTTTGTTCCTCTGACCATATAATTTCAAATAACCTGTCTTTGAGTTCACTGATTCTCTCTTCTGTTTGACTAAGTATGGTGTATGAGCTCTCTACTGAATTTTTCAGTTCCTTTATTGTATTATTTTCACCTCCAAAATTTCTCTTTGGTTCTTTTTTATGGTTTATGTTTGTTGAATATCTCATTTTGCTCATGAATTATTTTCCCCTAATTTTGTGTAGTTGTTTATCTGTGTCCTTTTATAGCTCTTTGAGCTTCTTTAAGATGTTACTTTGAATTCTTTGTCAAGCAATTTGTAGGTCTCCAATTCTTTAGAGTCACTTATTGGAGCTTTATGTGCTCCTTGGATAGTGTCTTTTTTCTTCATAATCCTTGTAACCTGTATTAATGTCTGGATGTTTGAAGAAGCAGCCACCTCTTTCAGTCTTCACAGACTGACTTTGGCAGAAAAAGTCTTTCACAAATCAGTCAGCCAGAGATTCTGGGTGGGTCAGCTGGCAAGGCCCGTGTGAACGGCTTGTTGCTTGAGACCATGTGTGGGTGGGCCTGGTGCCTGGGTCTACCAGTGGGCTCGGTGCTGTGGTCCACGGGCAGGCCTGGTGCCACCGTCACTGTGTGGGTAGACAGTCTTGATGCCAGTGCCCAGGAGCAGGGTTGCTCTCTTTTTCCCCCACAAGAGAGCTCATGATCCAAAGGAATCTCTTTCAGCATCGTGTATGCTGTGTAGGGTAAAGGGTAACTCTATAAAGTGAAATTTATTTTCTTATCCTTTCAATTTTTTCTCATATATTTGTTCCACTTGCATGCTGTAACCTCTCACCTTGATCCTGGAGCTCTCATAAAGGTATTTTTATTTGTAGATGGTTGTTACATTGGTGTTTCTGTGGGAAGACAAGTGCTGGGACATTTTGTTCCACCATCTTGCCAATGTCACACGCTTCAACTGTCTTAAATGTGCTCAGAGCTACAGGAAACCCTGATAATAATGTATAAACAAATATAGAATATTAATAAATAAATAGAATTGTTTTGGAGACAGAGTCTTGCTCTGTCACCCAAGCTGGAGTGCAGTGGCACAATCTTGGCTCACTGCAACCTCTGCCTCCCAGGTTCAAGCAATTCTCATGCCTTAGCCCCCTGAATAGCTGGAATTACAGGTGCCCACCACCACACCCAGCTAATTTTTGTATTTTTAGTAAAGATGGGGTTTCACCATGTTGGCCAGGCTGGTTTTGAACTCCTGAACCTCAAGTGATCCACCCACCTCACCCTCCCAAAGTGCTGGGATTACAGGTATGAGCCACCGTGACTGGCCAACAAATAGAAATTTTAAAAAGGAACTAGACAAAACTTCTGGAGTTGAAAAGCACAATAACAAACATGAAAAATTTTCTAATAGGTTTCAGTAGAAGATTTGAGCAGGCAGAAGAAATAGTCAACAAACTTGAAGATCAGTCCATTTAATTAATTATCCAGTATGAGAAGCAGAAAGAAAAAAGGATGACAAGGAATGAACAGAGCCTATGAGACTCGTGTGACACCATAAAGCATACCAAAATATATATAATGGAACCCCAGAAGGAGAAAATAAGAAAGTAAGAGAGAATATATGAAGAAATAATGGCTGAAAAATTTCCACATTTGATCAAATGCATGGCTGTCCACATTCAAAAAGCTCAATGCAATCCAAGAAGGATAAACACAAAAAGGTTCAAACCAAGACACATTATAATCAAATTGTCAAAACCAAGGATGAAGAAAGTCTTGAAAACAACATAGTCATGAGATTCCGTAAGATTAGCAGCAGCTTTCTCATCAGAAACCATGGAGGGCAGATGAAAATTTTATTTGTTGAAAGTAAAAAACTGTCAACCAAGAATTCTGTATCTGGCAAAACTATCCTTCACAAATGAAGGAGAAATGAAGAAATTCACAGATAAATAGAGGCTGAAGGAGTTAGCTACTAATAGACCTGTCCTACAGGAAATGCACTACAAGTAGCTGGGTGTGGTGGCTCATTGCCTATAATCCCAGCACTTTAGGGGAATGAGGCAGGAGGACTGCTTAAGCCCAGGAGTTCAAGACTATCCTGGAAAACACAGCAGGAGCCCATCTCTCTAAAAAATAAAATTAGCTAGGTGTAGTGGCATGTATCTGTAGTCTCAGCTACTCGGGAGGCTGAGGTGGGAGAATCACTTGAGCTCAGGAGTTCAAAACTGCAGTGAGCTCTGACTACACCACTTCATTCAAACCTGGGCAACAGAGTGAGATCATCTCTAAAATAAAATTAAATTAAAATAAAGAAATACAGTGCAAGTCAGAGAACCCTGCATACTGCAGTGAAAGGACATTTGGCAGTTACTTGAAGTAATATGAAGAAATAAAGAACTCCAGTAAAGGTAACTACATAGGTAAATATAAAAGCCAGTATTATATTATTTTGGTTTTGTATCTCTTCTTTTCCTTTCCCACATGAGTTAAAAGACAACTATATAAAACGATTCTAATTCTGTGTTAACAGTGCACAATGTATAAAGATGTAACATGACAATAACAACATAAAGGAATGGATGGAGCAGTATAGGAACAGAGTTTTGTATGCTCTCAAAGCCAAGTTATCAATTCAAACTAGATTACTATAAATTTAATCACTATTAATTGTAATCTCCATAGTACCGAAAAAGAAAATATCTAAAAAATATACACAGAAGGAAATAAAGAGAGAACTGAAATAGTTGAATATGAAAAAATCAACTAAACACAAAAAGGGCAGTAATGGAGAAAATGAGAAACAAAAAAGGTATAAGACATACAATAAACAAATAGCAAATAGAAGAGTAAGTCCTTTCTTATCAGCAATTACTTTAAATGGAAGTGGATTAAATTCTAATATCAAAAGGCAGAGATTGGCAGAATCAGTTTTTTAAAATTATTATCCAACTATATGCTGTCTAAAGAGGCTGCCTTTAGGTCCAAAGAAATAAAGGATAGAAAAGATATTATGTGCAAATAACAATCAAAAAAGAGCTAAAGTGGCTATACTAATACCAGACAAAATAGACCTTAAGTCAAAAACCGTTACAAGAGATAAATTACATGATATATTAATGAAAGGGTCAATTCTTCAGGAATATATAACAATTATGAATATTATACACTAAACAATAGAGCCCCAAAAGATATGAATGAAAAGTGACAGAATAAAAGAGAGAAACAGACAATTCTTGTTTTGGGGGGGGTGGGTTTGTTTTTGTTTTTGTTTTTGTTTTTGAGATGGAGTCATCCAGGCTGGAATGCAGTGGCATGATATCGGCTCACTGCAGCTGATTCAAGTGATTCTCATGCCTCAGCCTCCCAAGTATTTGGGATTATAGGAGTGCACCACCACGCCCGGCTAATTTGTGTATTTTTAGTAGAGACAGGGTTTCACCATGTTGCCCAGGCTGATCTTGAACTCCTGACCTCAGGTGATCTGCCCTTGGCCTCCCAAAGTGCTGAGATTATAGGCGTGAGTCACTGTGCCTGACCAGAAATAGATAATAATATAATAATAGTTGGAAGCTTCAATACTCCACTTTCTATAATGAATAGAAGGTCAATAAGGAATGGAGAACTTGAACAACACTATAAGCCCAGTAGACCTAATAACTAGACATATATAGAACTCTGCACTCAATAATAGCAGAATACACATTTTTCTCAAGCGCACATGGAACAATTTCTAAGATAGACCGTATAGGACTTGTCACAAAATGAGTCTTAATAAATTTTACAAATATTGAAATTATACAGAGTAGCTTCTCTAACCACAGTGGAATAAGGCTGGAAACCAATAACAGAAAGAAAATTAGAAAATCTACAAATATGTGGAAATTAAACAACATATTCTTAAGCAACCAATGGTCAAAGAAGAAATCACAAGGGTAATTGTGAATACTTGGAGATAAATGAAAACAAAACACAACATACCAAAACATATGATATGCAGCGAAAGCAGTTATCAAAGATAAATGTATAGCAGTAAATGCCTACATTAAAAAAGAATAGAGGACCCAGAAATAAGGCTGCACCCTTACAAGTATCTGATCTTCTACAAATCTGACAAAAAGAAGCAATGGGGAAAGGACTCCCTATTCAATAAATGATGCTGGGATAACTGGCTAGCCAATTGCAGAAAATTGAAACTGGACCCCTTCTTTAGACCATATACAAAAATTAACTCAAGATAGATTAAAGAATTAAATGTAAAACCCAAAACTATGAAAACCCTGGAAGACAACCTAGGCAATACTATTCTGGACATAGGAATGAGCAAAGATTTCATGACGAAGACACCAAAAGCAATCACAACAAAGCAAAAATTGACAAATGGGATCTAATTAAACTAAAGAGCTTCTGCACAGCAAAATAAATTATCAGCAGAGTGAACAGACACCCTACGGATGGGAGAAAATGTTTGCAAATTATGCATCTGACAAAGGTCTAATATCTAGTATCTATAAGGAACTTAAACAAATTTACAAGAAAAAAACAACCCATTAAAAAGTGGACAAAGGACATGAACAGATACTTTTCAAAAGAAGACTTATATGCAGCAGCAATCATATGAAAAAAAGCCCAACATCAGTGATCACTGGATAAATGCAAATTAAAACCACAATGAAATACCATCTCACACCAGTCAGAATGGCACTATTAAAAAGTCCAAAAAAATAACATGCTGTCGAGGTTGTGGAGAAAAAGGAATGCTTATACACATTTAGTGGTAGTGTAAATTAGCTCAACCATTGTGGAACACAGTGTGGCAATTCCACAAAGACCTAAAAAGAGAAATTCCATTCAACCCAGCAATCCCATTACTGGGTATATACCTAAAGGAGTACAAATTGTTCTATCATAAAGACACATGCACACATATGTTCATTGCGGCACTATTCACAATAGCAAAGACATGGAATCACCTTAAATGCCCATCAATGGTAGACTGGATAAAGAAAATGTGGTACATATACACCATGGAGTACTACTCAGTCCTAAAAGAGAACAAGATCAACAAGATCATGTCTTTTGCAGGAACATGGATGGAGCCAGAGGCCATTTCCTCAGTAAACAAATGCAGAAACAGAAAACCAAATACCACATGTTCTCATTTATAAGTGGAAGCTAAATTATGAGAACACATAGACACATAGAGGGGCCTATCAGACACACTGGGCCTATTAGAAGATGGAGGCTGGGAGGAGGAAGAGCATCAGGAAAAATAACTAATGGTTACTAGGCTTAATACCTGGGTGATACAATAATCTGTACAACAAACCCCCATGACACGAGTTTACCTACATAACAAACCTGCACAAATTTACCTATAAAACAAACCCTGAACTTAAAAGTTTTAAAAAAGAGTAAAGATCTCAAATTGATAATCTAACTTTACAACTTAAGAAGCATATCTTCTTTAGAAAAAGGAAGAGCAAACTAAACCCAAAGCTAGAAGAAAAAATAGAATAAAGATTAGAGTAGAAACAAAAAATATATAGTAAGACAATAGAATCAATGAAATCACAAGTTCGTTCTTTGGAAATAGCCACAAAATTGTCAGACCTTAGCTAAACTGAGAAAGAAAAAAGAGAGAAGATACAAATACCTAAAATCAGAAGTGAAATTGGAGGTATTACTACTGATCTTACAGAAATAAGAATGATAAGAGAATGCTATGAGCAATTATATGCCAGCAAATTAGATAACCTAGAAATATTAATGAATTCCTAGAAACACACAAATCACCAAAACTAATTCAAGAAGAATTAGAAAATCTGAACAGACCTATAGCAAGTAAAAGTATTAAATCAGTAATTTTAAAATTTCCCAAAAAAGAAATATCTGTAACCAGATGGCTTCACTCGTGAATTCTACCAAACATATAAAGAGAATTAACACTAATTTTTCTCAAACACTTTCAAAAGGTAAAGAGGAGGGAACACTTCCTATGCATTCCGCGAGGCCAATAAATTACCATAATAGCAAAATCAAAGATACCACAAGAAAAATTGCAAAACAGAGATGAAGACTATCTTCCCACCAAATCAAAAACTCCCAAAGATTTCCAGTATCCTTAATTTATTTGTATAGATCAGATTTCCCTCTGTGATAATTTTCCTTCTGCTTTTTCTTGTACTGCAGGTATGCTGCTAATTCCTTCAGCTTTTGTGTGTCTAAAAAGGTTGTTCTTTTGCCTAAATTTTTGAATGATATTTTTACTGGGTATAGAATTATAGATTGCCAATTTTCTCTTTCAGTACTTTAAAATTGTTGCTGCATTGTCTTCGCATTTGCATTATTGATGAGAAATGTCATACTTATCTTCGTTTCTCTGTACATAGTGTCTTTTTTCCTTGACTCTTTTGAAGATTTTCTCTTAGTTATTGGTTTCCAAGTAATTTGAGTGTGACATGGTTTGGTGCAATTTCCTTCATGATTCTCCTGCTTGGGGTTCATTCCTCATTTGTTCTCAAATTTGGATAAATTTCAGCCATTATTTCTTCAAATATGTTTTTTGTTCCCTCATTTTGTCCTCTTTTTTGGAGGCTCCAATTACATATGTACTAGGCTACTTGAAGTTGCCCCACAGTTCATTTATACTCTATTCTTTAATTTTTTTATTTTTTAAAATTTTATTGTAGTTTCCATTGATATGTCTTTAAGTTTCCCAGTCTTTTCTTCTGCATATCTGGTTTGGCTTTGGTTCCATCAAGTGTATTGTAGTTTTTATCCCTAGAAGTTCAATTTGGATCCTTTTCATATCATCTGTGTCTTTATTTTTGAACATGTGGAATACAGTTAAAATAACTTTTTAAATCTCCTTGCCTAGTAATGTTAACACCTGTTTTAGAATTCTGGGTAAGTTTCAATTGCCTGTTTTTTCTCCTCATCATGGGTCATATTTTATGACTTCTCTGATGCCTACTATTTTGTATTAAATGTCAAATATTATTAATTTTGCCTTGTTGGATGCTGTTTGTACTGTAATATGTATTTTAAATTTACTTTTTAAATTTTTTACAGATTTGATTATATATCTGAATTTCCATTTAAAAATGTTCACTTTGCATTTTCTTCATAATTCATTATTCCTTTCATTTCATGATTTTTACTAAAAATAATTTTCTTATATGGGGGTGTTTTAAAAGTGTCTGTGCTGTGGGACAAATACACTAAACTTGCCATTAGTTTTGCAATTCATATTCCAGATAAAGTGCTGGTTTCTTTAATATATAAAGAGTTACTACAAAAAACAAGAAAAAATCTATATCACTGAAAGATATGGTTAGGATGTAAAGAAAGAAGTAAAAATCTCTCTTAAAATTTGAGCATACGGAAGATGCTCAACTTCACTCAGAAAAAAATGCAAGTAAAAGTGTGCTGTGGAAACATAATATATACTCTGTAATCAAGAGTATGGAAACTAGATATTCTCATATATTGATGATGGGAATGCAATTTAAAACAACCTCTGTAGAGCAAAATTAGCCAATATCTTTCTGGATATTAAAATTACTCATTCCTTTGATTCAGCAATTTCACTTCCAGGGAAGTATCTGGCAGATATACTTAGCATATGTGAGAAATGATGTGTATTATATAAGGAGATTCATCATAGCATTATTTATAATAGTAAAACATTAGAAACTATCTAACTGCCCTTTGCGGGCTGATTATAGGGCCACTAGTTACAAATGCACTGATGTTGGGGCACAGATTGGAGAGTAACATGGGCTCATGTATACATTCATGATCTCTGGAAAGACTCACAAAGAGCTGTTAAGTGGTTGCCTCTGAAGTGGGGCCTGAGTGGATTGAGAGGATAAGGAAAGGAAGGAAACATAACTTTTACAGGCACATTTTTGAACCTGTTTGAACAATTCTCTCTGTTTCCTATTCAAAAAAATCTATTAAAAATTTAAAAAATAGACAAAATTTTAGCCATCTTACATTCATTATGAAAAAAACAAGACCAGAAAACTAGACAGATGATTTTCTTTTTAATCTCTAAGACAAAAATAATGGAGTTGACCCCAAAACAATATTTCCAGTTTTTTAGAGAGACTAAAAATTAGCACACAAGAAGCCATCCTACCTGACCACAGCATACAGTCATCTTCCCACAATTCCCAACAACATTCTGATTCTGGAAAAAAGATGAATATTTATTTTTAAAATTAAAAAAAAAACAAAAGACCTTATCAAATTTCTTATGTGAATTGGAACAATTCATTGTTAGGTATTACCAGAGAAACATTCTCTCCCTATTTTTTAATCTGAATAGAATGGTTGCTGTTAAGGAGTTTGTGGGGCATCTGTGGCATCACTTTATGTCAAAAGCAGGGCTGCTCCCAGGTACAATGCAAAACGGGCAGCTCCAAGGAGAGAAAAAAGTGGAAGAAAAATTGCTAGTAAAGACCATGATGGGAATAACTAAGGCCACAGGGGGCCTAAAACTCTTTCAATGGAAAGGTTTCTGATGTGGTTGTTAACTCTTGGGATCCAAGTTGCTTATTCACTTCTGGAAGAAAGACAACAGTTATATAGTTGGCTGTTTTTGAAAGTTTTCCAATTGTTTTTCTCAGTGATTTCCAGGGAAATCATCATTGTACCAGTTGGTTAATGCCATAATAATAAAAGCACTACATAATCTCAGTGGTATACAACTTTATTAGGTATACAAGTCTGTAGGTCAGTGGGGAGTCAGCTGGCCTATACTGGGCTCAGAAGGGCTGGTTCTTCTTTTTATGTCTGTGCTAGCCTGGTCATGCTCTTCTCCTAGCTATTCAGAGAAACACAAGGACAAACCCAGTTGCACAAGTACTTTCCAAGCATCTTTCAAAGAACAGGGTAATACACCCTGTGCCCGGTAAAGCATACAGTAAAGAACTAGGGTGAAATGAGGATAGAACAAGGAGGGGCTATAGGCAGTCTACCAAAATCATTATCATATTCACATTTATACAGATCTTCAATGTTTATTTGTGTTTCCCATGTATTTTTCATCTGATCCTCACACTATCTCTGTGTGAACATTATTTTTATTTTCCACATTTTATAGAAGAGGAACAGGATCAGAAGGATAAAGTCACTTATCCAAGATCACACAGCTAATTAGCAATAGAAGGGGAACATTCCAATAGTACCCAGAAGAAAGGGAAAGGGGTGGACTTTTCCTTGCTTTAATCATAACTGATCATGTGTTTTTCTTGTTTATAGGTTAAATATGGAAAAGACAGGCAAAACAGGGCAATGAAGAAACTTGAGGATAAGGCATATAGCTATATACTGGGTTAATAAGGTCTAGAAAAAGGAGGTTGTTTTATTTCTTGTTTGTGTTCTAATGAACGACCATCTAAAATTGTTTCACTGGTCTCCTGCCTAGAGAAAAAAAAGATAAAGTTTACATAAAAATAATTGCTATGTCACTGCAAATACCAAAGAAATAATTTTTAGGCTGGATGTGGTGGCTCATGCCTGTAATCCCAGCATTTTGGGAGGCTGAGGCGAGTGGATTAATGGAGGTCAGGAGTTCGAGACCAGCCTGGCCATTATGGTGAAACAGCATCTCTACTAAAAACACAAAAATTAGCCGGGCATGGTGGCAGGCACTTGTAATCCCAGCTACACAGGAGGTTGAGGCAGAAGAATTGCTTGAACCCAGGAGACAGAAGTTGCAGTGAGCTGAAATTGTCACTGCACTCACTCTCAGAGCTAGACTTTGGTTTTTTTTGTTTTTTTTTTAAAGAATTTTTTAAAAGCCCATTGTATTAGTCCATTTTCATACTGCTATAAAGAACTGCCCAAGACTAGGTAATTTATAAAGGAAAGAGGTTTAATTGACTCACAGTTCAGCATGGCTGGGGAGGCCTCAGGAAACTCACAATCATGATGGAAGATGAAGAGGAAGCAAGGCACCTTCTCACAAAGCGGCAGGAGGAAGTATTAAGTGAAGGAGGAAGAGCCCCTTATGAAACCATCAGGTCTTGTAAGAATTCACTCGCTATTACAAGAACAGCATAGGTGAAACCGCCCCCATGATTTAATTACCTCCACTTGGTCTCTCCCTTGACACAGAATTATGGGGATTATGGGGATTATAATTCAAGATGAGATTTGGGTGGGGACACAAAGCCTAACCATATCACCCATATACACAGAGAAGCAGCAGCAGCTAGAGGAGATGGAATCATGTTTTGTAGATCACCAGGCTGATTAATAATTGTTAAAAAGATTTTGGGGAGGGCGGGTGGAGAGCAAAAAAGTGTGGGTGGGGAGCAAAAATATAAGTAAATAAATTTCTGAATATGTGCTCCTAATATATGTGAATGTATTTATATATAAATAATAAGTGCACTGCTGTACAAAGAAATGCATCTTAAAACAAACAAAATTTTCAACACAAAGATAATATTTTAACAACAATTTTGACTACTACTCTTTCATGGAATAATGCCATTAATCACACTTCATTATTTTTAAAATTTTTCACTTTATTTTAATAACATATTGGCTGGGAAAGATGTCACGTGTGTCTGTGTGAAGAGACCACCAAACAGGCTTTGTGTGAGCAATAAAGCTTTTTAATCACCTGGGTGCAGGCGGGCTGAGTCCGAAAAGAGAGTCAGCAAAGGGTGGTGAGATTATCATTAGTTCTTATAGGTTTGGGACAGACAGTGGAGTTAGGAGCAATTTGTGGGCAGGGGGTGGATCTCACAAAGTACATTCTCAAGGGTGGGGAGAATATTACAAAGTAGCTTCTTGCGGGGGTGAATATCACAAAGTACATTATCGCAAGGGTGGGGAGGGTGTATTGTCATAAGGTCAATTGACCGGTTAGAGTGGGGCAGGAACAGATCACAATGGTGGAATGTCATCTTTTGTGGTTCTTTCAGTTGCTTCAGGCCATCTGGATGTATACGTGCAGGTCACAGGAGATATGATGGCTTAGCTTGGGCTCAGAGGCCTGACAAAAGATACTTGAGAAAGAGCAACATGCACAGTAAATACATAGGAGGAGGTTCATCATTAATGTGTTAGATGTAAGTCTGTATTTCAAGTAGTCTTTTTAGTACTGCTGATGGAGAGAAAGAACTGACTTCTTGTCATATCTGATTAGCTTTTCATTATTTTTTCTTCTCATAATGTGGCTAATGAACAGCTTCTACTGATGCTAGAAGTGTAGACTCTGACATTTTTTGTTTTTCATTGGTGTTGTATTTTGGCATTGTTTTTAATCCAGGATTCATCTATCAACAAGAATCTCTTTAAATCACTTGTCAGTTTGTGAGGATTAATTTAGCTAAAACTAGATCACATAAAATTCCTTAATCAAGCGCATGTATATGATTCTCTATCTTAAAAGAAAAACTCTCCTTTAACCCTATACCCTCCTCCAACTATCACCCCATTTCTCTAAACTGTGCCCCTTCACATCTAAACTCTTAAAAATTTGTTATGCTTATTTCCCTCTTTCTATTCTTTCTTGAATGTAATTAGGCTTGGTTTTCCCCATTCCACTAAAATTACATTTGTCAAAGTCACAATGGGGAAGTATTTAACACAGTTGTTCATCACTTCTTTTTATTTATTTTTTTATTTTTCCATTAGTTATTAGGGTACAGGTGGTATTTGGTTACATGAGCAAGTTCTTTAGTGGTGATTTGTGAGATTTTGGTGCACCCATCACCCGAGCAGTATACACTGCACCATATTTGTAGTCTTTTATCCCTTGCCTCCCTCCCACTCTTCCCTCCAAGTCTCCAAAGTTCATTTTATTATTCTTATGTCTTTGGGTTCTCATAACTTAGCTTCCACATATCAGTGAGAACGTACGATATTTGGTTTTCCATTCCTGAGTTACTTCACTTAGAACAATAGTCTCCAATCTCATCCAGGTCACTGCAAATGCTGTTAATTCATTCCTTTTTATGGCTGAGTAGTATTCCATCATATATATATATATATATATATCACAGTTTCTTTATCCACTCATTGAATGGTGGGCATTTGGATTGGCTCTGCGATTTTGCAATTGTAAATTGTGCGGCCATAAACATGCATGTGCAAGTATCTTTTCAGAATAATAACTTATTTTCCTCTGAGTAGATACCCAGTAGCGGGATTGCTGAATCTGATGGTAGTTCTACTTTTAGTCCTTTAAGGAATCTCCACACTGTTTTCCACAGTGGCTGCACTACTTTACATTCCCACCAGCAGTGTAGAAGTGTTCCCTGATCACCACATCCACACCAACATCTACTATTTTTTTATTTTTTTATTATGGCCATTCTTGCAGGAGTAAGGTGGTATCACATTGTGGTTTTGATTTGCATTTCCCTGGTCATTAGTGATGTTGAGCATTTTTTCATATGTTTGTTGGCCATTTGTATATCTTCTTTTGAAAATTGTCTATCCATGTCCCTAGCCCATTTTTTGATGGGATTGTTTTTTCTTACTGATTTGTATGAGTTCATTGTAGATTATGGATGTTAGTCTTTTTTCAGATGTAAAGATTGTGAAGATTTTCTCACACCCTATGGGTTGTCTGTTTACTCTGCTGACTGTTCCTTTTGCTGTGCAAAGGTTCTTTAGTTTAATTAAGTCCCAGCTATTTATCTTTGTTTTTATTGCATTTGCTTTTGGGTTCTTGGTCATGAAATCCTTGCCTAAGCCTATGTCTAGAAGGGTTTTTCCAATGTTATCTTCTAGAATTTTTATACTTTCAGGTCTTAGGTTTAAGTCCTTAATCCATCTTGAGTTGATTTTTGTATAAGGTGAGAGATGAGAATCCACTTTCATTCTCCTACATGTGGCTAGCCAATTATCCCAGTACCATTTGTTGAAAAGGGTGTCCTTTCGCCACTTTATGTTTTTGCTTGCTTTGTCGAAGATCAGTTGGCTGTAAGTATTTGGGTTTATTTCTGGGTTCTTATTCTGTTTCATTGGTTTATGTGCCTATTTTTATACCAGTACGACACTGTTTTGGTGACTATGGCCTTATAGTATAGTTTGAAATCAGGTAGTGTGATGCTTCCAGATTTGCTCTTTTTGCTTAGTCTTGCTTTGGCTATGTGGGCTCTTTTTTTGGTTCCATATGAATTTTAGAATTTTTTTTTCTAATTCTGTGAAAAGTGATGGTGGTATTTTGGTATTTGGATTGCATTGAATTTGTAGATTTCTTTTGGCGGTATGGGCATTTTCACAATATTGATTCTATCCATCCATGAGCATGGGATGTGTTTCCATTTGTTTTTGTCATCTATGATTTCTTTCAGCACTGTTTTGTAGTTTTCCTTGTAGAAGTTTTTCAACTCCTTGGTTAGGTATATTCCTAAGTATTTTTTTTTTTTTTGCAGCTATTGTAAAAGGGGTTGAGTTCTTGATTTGATTCTGTGCTTGGTCGCTGTTGGTGTATAGAAGAGCTATTGATTTGTGTACATTAATCTTGTATCCAGAAACTTTACTAAATTCTTGTATCAGTTCTAGAGCTTTCTGGAGGAGTCTTTAGGGTTTTCAGGGTAAACAATCATTATGTCAGCAAAAAGTGACCATTTGACTTCCTCTTTACCGGTTTGGATGCCCATAAAGAGAAAGAAATAAAATTATTTCTCTTGTCTGTTTACTCTGGCTAGGACTTCCAATACTGTGTTGAAGAGGAATGGTGAGAGTGGGCATCCTTGTCTTGTTCCAGTTCTCAGAGGGAATGCTTTCAACTTTTCCCCATTCAGTACTATGTTGGCTGTGGGTTTGTCATAGATAGCTTTTATTACATTAAGGTATGCCCCTTGTATGCCGATTTTGCTGAGAGTTTTAATCCTAAAGCGATGTTAGATTTTGTCGAATGCTTTTTCTGCATCTACTGAGGTGATCATGTGACTTTGGTTTTTCATTCTGCTTATGTTGTGTATCACATTTATTGACTTGTGTATGTTAAACCACCCCTGCATCCCTGGTATGAAGCCTACTTGATCATGGTAGATTATCTTTTTGATATGTTGTTCGATTTGGTTAGCTAGTATTTTGTTAAGGATTTTAGCTTCTGTGTTCTTCAAAGATATCAGTCTGTAGTTTTCTTTTTTGGTTATGTCCTTTCCTGGGTTTGGTATAAGGGTGATGCTGGCTTCACAGAATGAATTGGGGAGGGTTCCTTCTTTCTCTATCTTGTGGAATAGTGTCAAAAGGATAGGTACAAATTCTTCTTTGAGTGTCTGGTAGAATTCTGCTGTGAATCTGTCTGGTCCTGGACCTTTTGTTCATTGGTAATTTTTTAATTACCATTTCAATATGGCTGATTGTTATTGGTCTGTTCAGGGTATCTAATTCTTCCTCATTTAAGCTAGAAGGGTTGTATTTTTCCAGGAATTTATCCATCTCTTCTAGTCTAGTTTATGTGCGTAAAGATGTTCATAGTAGCCTTGAATGATCTTTTGTATTTCAGTGGTGTCAGTTGTAGTATCTCCTGTTTCCTTTCTTATCGAGCTTATTTGAATTTTTTTCTCTTCTTTTCTTGGTTAATCTTGCTAATGGTCTATCAATTTTATTTATATTTTTAAAGAACCAGCTTCTTGTTTCATTTATCTTTAACTTTTTTTTCCAATTTCATTGGGTCAAAAAGAAAATCAAGTTGGAAATTTTTTTTTATACTTTAAGTTCTAGGCTGCATGTGCACAACGTGCAGTTTTGTTACATATGTATACATGTGCCATGTTGGTGTGCTGCACACGTTAACTTGTCATGTACATTAGGTATATCTCCTAATGCTATCCCTCCCCGCTCCCCTGACCCCATGACAGGCCCCAGTGTGTGATGTTCCCCACCCTGTGTCCAAGTGTTTTCATTGTTCAATTCCCACCTGTGAGTGAGAACATGCGGTGTTTGGTTTTCTGTCCTTGTGATAGTTTGCTCAGAATGATGGTTTCTAGCTTCATCCATGTCCCTACAAAGGACATGAACTCATCAATTTTTATGGCTGCATAGTATTCCATGGTGTATATGTTCCACGTTTTCTTAATCCAGTCTATCATTGATGGACAGTTGGGTTGATTCCAAGTCTTTGCTATTGTGAATAGTGCCGCAATAAACATACGTGTGCATGTGTCTTTATATCAGCATGATTTATAATTCTTTGGGTATATGCCCAGTAATGGGATGGCTGGGTCAAATGGTATTTCCAGTTCTAGATCTGTGAGGAATCGCCACACTGTCTTCCACAATGGTTGAACTACTTTATAGTCCCACCAACAATGTAAAAGCGTTCCTATTTCTCCATATCCTCTCCAGCACCTGTTGCTTCCTGACTTTTTAATGATCGCCATTCTAACTGGTGTGAGATGGTATCTCATTGTGGTTTTGATTTGCATTTCTCTGATGGCCAGTGATGATGAGCATTTTTTCATGTGTCTGTTGGCTGCATAAATGTCTTCTTTTGAGAAGTGTCTCTTCATATCCTTCGACCACTTTTTGATGGGGTTTTTTTATTTTTTCTTGTAAATTTGTTTGAGTTCTTTGTAGAGTCCAGATATTAGCCTGTCGTCAGATGGGTAGATTGCAAAAATTTTCTCCCATTCTGTAGGTTGCCTGTTCACTCTGATGGTAGTTTCTTTTCCTGTGCAGAAGCTCTTTAATTTAATTAGATCCCATTTGTCAATTTTGGCTTTTGTTGCCATTGCTTTTTGGTGTTTTAGTCATGAAGTCCTTGCCCATGCCTATGGCCTGAATGGTGTTGCCTGCGTTTTCTTCTAGGGTTTTTATGGTTTTAGGTCTAACATTTAAATCTTTAATCCATCTTGAATTAATTTTTTATAAGGTGTAAATATACACCTTATAAGGAAGGGATCCAGTTTCAGCTTTCTACTTATGGCTAGCCAGTTTTCCCAGCACCATTTATTAAATAGGGAATCCTTTCCCCATTTCTTGTTGTCAGGTTTGTCAAAGATCAGATGGTTGTTGATGTGTAGTATTATTTCTGAGGCCTCTGTTCTGTTGGATTGGTCTATGTCTCTGTTTTGGTACCAGTACTGTGCTGTTTTGGTTACTGTAGACTTGTAGTATAGTTTGAAGTCAGGTCACATGATGCCTCCAGCTTTCTTCTTTTGGCTTAGGATTGTCTTGGCAATGTGGGCTCTTTTTTGGTTCCATATGAACTTTAAAGTAGTTTTTTCCAATTCTGTGAAGAAAGTCATTGGTAGCTTGATGGGGATGGCATTGAATCTATAAATTACCTTGGGTAGTATGGCCATTTTCACAATATTGATTCTTCCTCTCCATGAGCATGGAATGTTCCTCCATTTGTTTTTGTCCTCTTTTATTTCGTTGAGCAGTGGTTTGTAGTTCTCCTTGAAGAGGTCCTTGACATCCCTTGTAAGTTGGATTCCTAGGTATTTTATTCTCTTTGAAGCAATTGTGAATGGGAGTTCACTCATGATTTGGCTCTCTGTGCGTCTGTTCTTGGTGTATAGGAATGCTGGTGATTTTTGCACATTGATTTTGTATCCTGAGACTTTGCTGAAATTGCTTATCAGCTTAAGGAGATTTCGGGCTGAGACGATGGGGTTTTCTAAATATACAATCATGTCATCTGCAAACAGGGACAATTTGACTTACTCTTTTCCTAATTGAATACCCTTTATTTCTTTCTCTTGCCTGATTGCCCTGTTCAGAACTTCCAACACTATGTTGAATAGGAGTGGTGAGAGAGGGCATCCCTGTCTTGTGCCAGTTTTCAAAGGGAATGCTTCCAGTTTTTGCTCATTCAGTATGATATTGGCTGTGGGTTTGTCATAAATAGCTCTTATTATTTTGAGATACGTCCCATCAATACCTAGTTTATTGAGAGTTTTTATCATGAAGGGCTGTTGAATTTTGTCGAAGGCCTTTTCTGCATCTATTGAGATAATCATGTAGTTTTTTGTCTTTGGTTCTGTTTATATGATGGATTACGTTTATTGATTTGCATATGTTAAACCAGCCTTGCATCCCAGGGATGAAGCCAACTTGATCATAATGGATAAGCTTTTTGATGTGCTGCTGGATTCGGTTTGCCAGTATTTTATTGAGGATTTTTGCATCAGTATTCCTCAGGGATATTGGTCTAAGATTCTTTTTTTTTGTTGTGTCTCTGCCAGGCTTTGGTATCAGGATGATGTTGGCCTCATAAAATGAATTAGGGAGGATTCCCTCTTTTTCTATTGATTAGAATAGTTTCAGAAGGAATGGTACCAGCTCTTCTTTGTACCTCTGGTAGAATTTGGCTGTGAATCTGTCTGGTCCTGGACTCTTTTTGGTTGGTAGGCTATTAATTATTGCCTCAATTTCAGAACCTCTTATTGGTCTATTCAGGGATTCAACCTCTTTGTAGTTTAGTCTTGGGAGGGTGTATGTGTCCAGGAATTTATCCATTTCTTCTAGATTTTCTAGTTTATTTGCATAGAGGTGTTTATAGTATTCTCTGATGGTAGTTTGTATTTCTGTGGGATCGGTGGTGATATCCCCTTTATCATTTTTTATTGCATCTATTTGATTCTTCTCTTTTCTTCTTTATTAGTCTTGCTAGCAGTCTAGCAATTTTGTTGATCTTTTCAAAAAACCATCTCCTGGATTCATTGATTTTTTGAAGGGTTTTTTGTGTCCGTATCTCCTTCAGTTCTGCTCTGATCTTAGTTATTTCTTGCCTTCTGCTAGCTTTTGAATGTGTTTGCTCTTGCTTCTCTAGTTCTTTTAATTGTGATTTTAGGGTGTCAATTTTAGATCTTTCCTGCTTTCTCTTGTGGGCATTTAGTGCTATAAATTTCGCTCTACACACTGCTTTAAATGTGTCCCAGAGATTCTGGTATGTTGTGTCTTTGTTCTCATTGGTTTCAAAGAACATCTTTATTTCTGCCTTCATTTCGTTATGTACCCAGTAGTCATTCGGGAGCAGGTTGTTCAGTTTCCGTGTAGTTGAGTGGTTTTGAGTGAGTTTCTTAATCCTGAGTTCTAGTTTGATTGCACTGTGGTCTGAGAGACAGTTTGTTATAATTTCTGTTCTTTTACATTTGCTGAGGAGTGCTTTACTTCCAACTATGTGGTCAGTTTTGGAATAAGTGTGATGTGGTGCTGAGAAGAATGTATATTCTGTTGATTTGGTATGGAGAGTTCTGTCGATGTCTATTAGGTCTGCTTGGTGCAGAGCTGAGTTCAATTCCTGGATATCCTTGTTAACTTTCTGTCTCATTGATCTGTCTAATGTTGACAGTGGGGTGTTAAAGTCTCCCATTATTATTGTGTGGGAGTCTAAGTCTCTTTGTAGGTCTCTAAGGACTTGCTTTATGAATCTGGGTGTTCCTGTATTGGGTACATATATATTCAGGATAGTTAGCTCTTCTTGTTGAATCGATCCCTTTACCAATATGTAATGACTTTCTTTGTCTCTTTTGATCTTTGTTGGTTTAAAGTCTGTTTTATCCGAGACTAGGATTGCAACCCCTGCCTTTTTGTTTTGTTTTGTTTTCCATTTTCTTGGTAGATCTTCCTCCATCCCTTTATTTTGAGCCTATGTGTGTCTCTGCACACATAGATGCGTTTCCCGAATACAGCACACTGATGGGTCTTGACTCTTTATCCAATTTGCCAGTCTGTGTCTTTTAATTCGAGCATTTAGCCCATTTACCTTTAAGGTTAGTATTGTTATGTGTGAATCTGATCCTGTCATTATGATGTTAGCTGGTTATTTTGCTCGTTAGTTGATGCAGTTTCTTCCTAGCCTTGATGGTCTTTACAATTTGGCATGTTTTTGCAGTGGCTGGTACTGGTTGTTCCTTTCCATGTTTAGTGTTTCCTTCAGGAGCTCTTGTAAGGCAGGCCTGATGGTGACAAAATCTCTCAGCATTTGTTTGTCTGTAAAGGATTTTATTTCTCCTTCACTTATGAAGCTTAGTTTGTCTTGATATGAAATTCTGGGTTGAAAATTCTTTTCTTTAAGAATGTTGAATATTGGCTCCCACTCTCTTCTGGCTTGTAGAGTTTCTGCGGAGAGATCCGCTGTTAGTCTGATGGGCTTCCCTTTGTGGGTAACCCCACCTTTCTCTCTGGCTGCCCTTAATATTTTTTCCTTCATTTCAACTTTGGTGAATCTGACAATTATATGTCTTGCTGTTGCTCTTCTCGAGGAGTATCTTTGTGGCATTCTCTGTATTTCCTGAATTTGAATGTTGGCCTGCCTTGCTAGGTTGGGGAAGTTCTCCTGGGTAATATCCTGAAGAGTGTTTTCCAGCTTGGTTCCATTCTCCTCGTCACTTTCAGGTACATCAATCAGATGTAGATTTGTTCTTTTCACATAGTCCCATATTTCTTGGAGGCTTTGTTCATTTCTTTTTACTCTTTTTTCTCTAAACGTCTCTTCTCGCTTCATTTCATTCATTTGATCTTCAATCATTGATACCCTTTCTTCCACTTGATCAAATTGGCTACTGAAGCTTGTGCATGCATCAAATAGTTCTTGTGCCATGGTTTTCAGCTCCATCAGGTCATTTAAGGACTTCTCTACACTGGTTATTCTAGTTAGCCATTCATCTAATCTTTTTTCAAGGTTTTTAGCTTCTTTGCGATGGGTTCGAACATCCTCCTTTAGCTTGGAGAAGTTTGTTATTACTGATTGTCTGAAGCCTTCTTCTCTCAACTTGTCAAAATCATTCTCCATCCAGCTTTGTTCCGTTGCTGGCAAGGAGAAGAGGTGCTCTGATTTTTAGAATTTTCAGCTTTTCTTCTCTGGTTTCTCCCCATCTTTGTGGTTTTATCTGCCTTTGGTCTTTGATGATGGTGACGTACAGATGGGGTTTTGGTGTGGATGTCCTTGTTTGTTAGTTTTCCTTCTAACAGTCAGGACCCTCAGCTGCAGGTGTGTTGGAGTTTGCTGGAGGTCCACTACAGACCCTGTTTGCCTGGGTATCACCAGTGGAGGCTACAGACCAGCAAATATTTCAGAACAGCAAATGTTGCTTCCTCTGGAAGCTTCGTCTCAGAGGGGCACTCGGCTGTATGAGGTGTCAGTCAGCTCCTACTGGGAGGTGTCTCCCATTTAGGCTACTCGGGGGTCATGAACCCACTTGAGGCAGTCTGTCCATTCTCAGATCTCAAACTCCATGCTGGGAGAACCACTACTCTCTTCAAAGCTGTCAGACAGGGACATTTAAGTCTGCAGAAGTTTCTGCTGCCTTTTGTTCAGCTATGCCCTGCCCCCAGAGGTGGAGTCTACAGAGGCAGGCAGGCCTCCTTGAGCTGTGGTGGGCTCCACCCAGTTAGAGCTTCCAGGATGCTTTGTTTACCTACTCAAGCCTCAGCAATGGCAGACGCCCCTCCCCCAGCCTTGCTGCCACCTTGCAGTTTGATCTCAGACTGCTGTGCTAGCAATGAGTGGGGCTCCGTGGGTGTGGGACCCTCCGAGCCAGGCACGGGATATAATCTCCTGGTGTGCCGTTTGCTTAGGCCATTGGAAAAGTGCAGCATTAGGGTGGGAGTGTCCCAATTTTCCAGGTACCATCTGTCACTGCTTCCCTTTGCTGGAAAAGGGAATTCCCTGACCCCTTGCACTTCCCGGGTGAGGCGATGCCCCACCCTGCTCCATGGGCTGTACCCACTGTCTGACAAGCCCCAGTGAGATGAACTTGGTACCTTAGTTGGAAATGCAGAAATCACCCGTCTTCTGCGTCGCTCACACTGGGAGCTGCAGACTGGAGCTGTTCCTATTTGGCCATATTGGAACCTCCTCAAGTTGGAAATTTAAAAATTCTTTGAACTGAATGACAATAATGACACAACCCACCAAAACCTCTGGGATACAGGAAAGGCAGTGCTAAGAAGAAAGTTCATAACCCTAAATGCCTACATCAAAAAGACTGAAAGAGCACAAATTGACATTCTAAGATCACACCTCAAGGAACTAGAGAAATAAGAACAAACTATATGCAAACCCAGCAGAAGAAAGGAAGTAACCAAGATCAGAGCAGAACTAAATGAAACTGTCATTCCTTTTTTATTGCTTTTGTGCCATCTGCAATTTATTTGCCTTTTGCTTCACTGACCACATATTCTCAGTCTCCTTTACTAGTTCTGCAGCATCTGCTCAACCTCTACACACTGGAGGGTTTACACCCTCCAAGGGCTTTATGATTCATTCAGAGTATAAGCCAGTCTTTACAGTAGCCAACAGGTTCCTACAAGATCTGTCACCCACTCCTCCAATTCTGTGACCTGATCTCCTCCTATTCCCCCTGTTACTTATTCCCATCCACCCACACTGGCCCCTTTGACCAAGAATGTACCACATACACTTCCCCAGAGCTCTTGCCCTTGCTATCTCCTCTGACCATGATACATCACCCCTAGAGAGCTGCATAGCTTGCTCCCTCACCTTCAGGTTCCTAGTCCAAGGGAAGGTTTTCTCCAAAATCTTCTCTGACAACCCTATAAAAACAGCAATTCTCCCCTCACTCTCCATATTCTGTATCTTTCTTACCCTACATAGCATTTATCACCTTATGTCATCTTATATATTTACTGTTTATTCATTTTTGTCTGTCTTGCCTACTAGAATGTAAACTCTATGACTTTGTCCTGCTCACTCTTGTATCTCCAGGACTTACAACAGTGACTGGCCATAGTAGGCTCTCAATAAATATTGTATGAATATAGGCCCAAGTGATAATCTATGTTTAAATATTAGTAAAGATTTTTTTCTTACTACTTTCTAAATAAAACATATAAATCAATAAAATTTCTGATATTTTTTCCACATTCCACTGATTCTTTCATATATCCCAAGATGTGAATAAGCCACTTTGGAAATTACTGGGCTACAATAGTGGTTTTCAGTTTTGGGGACACATAAGAATATTTATGGAGCTTGTTTACAGTGCAGAATCCAAGATCTGTCCCAGAGATTCCGATTAAGAAGGTCTATTGTTCGGGTCCAAAAATCTGCATTTGTAGGATGATGCGCCTCAGGTGGTTTTGGTGCAACTAGTCTGGGGCCACAGTCAGGAATACCTGATCCATGTGTTTGATAGTCTCCTATTTCAGCTCTTAACAGCCAACCCAGTAAAAATGAGAAAAAACTTATTTAACATACCTCCCACCCACAGAATGATTTAAGTCCCATACTCCCTACACCAGTAGTTCTCGAGGGTTTGAATTATAAAGAGTGTATCATCCATATAGGCTATGTTGTGCACCAGTAAGAACCAATCCCCAACTCTCAGTGGCTAAAACACAACAATTTATGTTTGTTTGTTTTTGAGACGGAATCTTACTCTGTCGCCAGGCTGGAGTGCAGTGGCGCGATCTCGGCTCACTGCAACCTCTGCCTCCCAGGTTCAAGCGATTCTCCTGCCTCAGCCTCCTGAGTAGCTGGGATTACATGCACACGCCACCATGCCCCGCTAATTTTTGTATTTTTAGTAGAGACCATGTTGGCCAGGATGGTCTCTATCTCCTGACTTTGTGATCCACCTGCCTCAGCCTCCCAAAGTGCTGGGATTACAGGCGTAAGCCACTGCGCCTGGCAAAAGTTTATGTTTTGTTCATGCAAAGCCTACTGTGGGTCTGGGTGACTCTGTAGGGAACCCATGTTACATGTGTTGGCCCTGCATTCTAGGCTACTTTGATTCTATGGTATCGCTACAATTTGTGTTCCCATGATCACATGACACAGGAAGAGAAAGTTGGGTTGTTGAGCACTGGCAATTAAATGCTTCTCTCTGAACCCAACAAATTATTTCAGCTTACATTTCACTGGCCAAAGGAAATCACCATGCCCAACCTCAAGGGGAAAATGCAATCTTTCTATTTTCCCAGAAGTAGAGGAAAATACGATTTTAGTAAGCAGTATTAATGTTTACCACAAAACTAAACATTAAAAGACTCTCAGGTTAGGCAGGGTGGCACACATCTGTAATCCCAGCATGTTGGGAGGCTGAGATGGGAGGATTGTTTAAGGCCAAGAGTTTAAGACCAGCCTGGGCAACATAGTGAGGCCCCATCTCTACAAAAATATTTTTAAAATAAAAATTAACTGGGCATGGTAGCATGTGTCTGTCCTAGCTACTCAGGAGACTGAGGCAGGATGATCACTTGAGCCTATGAGTTTAGGATTACAGTGAGCTGTGATCATACCACTGCACTCCAGCTTAGGCAACACAGTGAGACTCTGTCTCAAGAAAAAAAAAAAACGATCAAATTCACCACTCCATCTTATACCACCAAAAACACACATAATAGTAGTTGTTATTTTAATCTGTTATTCTGGGAGACACAGAAATGACAGTAACTATAGTTTCAATGGTGATTTAAATAATTTTTCTTATTAACCATAATAGCATTTACATATATTCAAAACACAGGTGTACATAGACATATGAGGCATACTCACATCGTTTATATTTTGTCTTCAGGCAAAGCCTGGTGTACACATGCATTTACAAACCTCTTTAATAACATCCTCAAAGATCATCAGCTCATATTTTGGCAACCACTGTTCTAGACGTTGAGATACATGTGACTTACCAATTCTTTTAAATTAAAGCTACTGTCATCACGTTTTAGACAGTGTATAAATAAACCATATTCTTACTATGCCCAGCTATTTTTCAACAGTGATTTTCTGTCTCTCCGTTGATTAATGTTGCCCTTGTTAACAGCCACTGTGTTCGTGTTATCCTTTACCATCCATCTGAAATTTAAAATGGTAATGTTATCATAAAGTTGCTTCCAATTTACAATAGGAAATTATAAGTATAGCAAACTGCTTAATTTCTAAGGTGAACTTCACCGTGCTCTGATTGCTTCTCCTATCCCCTCCTCAACCTTGTTTCAACAATTTCCCCCTCTCTCTCCTTCTTGAAAATGCAATCTCTCCTGTTTTGTTAAATTCCTCCCCTTAGCCTATAACCATGATGAAATCCCTTTTATCCTAATGAAAACAAAAATCTCTCTTTACTCCGTGGCCCTTTATGCTACTATCCCATCAAATGTTCTCCTGCTTCAGAGCCTAGCACTTAATCTTCTACTTTTTTTTTTTTTTTTTTTTTTTTTTTTTTGGTGATGGAGTCTTGCTGTGTTGCCCAGGCTGGAGTGCACTGGTGCGATCTCGGCTCACTGCAACCTCCACCTCCTTGGTTCAAGCAATTCCCCTGCCTCAGCCTCCTGAGTAGCTGGGATTACAGGCACACACCACTACGCCCGGCTAATTTTTTTTTTTTTTGTATTTTTAGTAGAGATGGGGTTTCATCATGTTGGCCAGAATGGTCTCAAACTGCTGACCTCAGGCAATCTGCCTGCCTCAGCATCCCAAAGTGCTGGGATTATAGGCATGAGCCACTGTGCACAGCCTGCCTAGCTGATTTTTTTTTTTATTTTTAGTAGAGATGGGGTTTCATCATGTTGGCCAGAATGGTCTCGAACTGCTGACCTCAGGCAATCTGCCTGCCTCAGCATCCCAAAGTGCTGGGATGATAGGCATGAGCCACCATGCACAGCCTGCCTGGCTAATTTTTTTTATTTATTTTTTATTTTTTTTGTATTTTGAGTAGAGTTGGGGTTTCACCATGCTGGCCTGGCTGGTCTCGAACTCCTGACCTCATGATCCGCTGGCCTCAGCCTCCCAAAGTGCTGGGATTACAGGAATGAGCCACTGCGCCTGGCCCTAATCTTCTACTTCCCTACTGAAAGCATAAGGACATCAGATCTTACTTAAAATGAAAAGCACTCCTATCACCCGTCTCCCACCCCTAACTCTCTCTCCAGGGGCAAGCACTTTCAAATCTTTGCTGTTTCTTCTGCTGTTTACAACAGATTCCTCAGTAACATGTTCATACAACCATCTCTTTCAACCAGTTCCCTGTTTGTTAGCCACTCCTTCTTCAGAGGTACTAGGTCCCCCAGTTCCTAAGCTTTTCTGGGGTTCTGTGGGGCTTAGCTTTCAGTTCTCCTTGATCTGCTAAATCCATTAGCACTAGCCCATCTGTTTTCCAGCTTCCAACATTTTGATATCTTATATCCTGCAGTCCTCTCCCCACTCTCTTTGACCTTATGGTTTATGCCCTTTAAAAAAATTCCTGTATTCTCAATTTAACAGAGCTTGGAGAGGAGACAGAGACTTTCTTTTTTTTTTTTTTTTTTCTGGTCTGTGTTCATATTTTCATGTCTAAATGGCAAAACCAGTAAAGCGGTTTCTTTTTTTTTCTTTTTTTTTTTTTAGAGATGGAGTCTCGCTCTGTCATCCAGGTTGGAGTGCAGTGGTGCGGTCTCCGCTCACTGCAAACTCCACCTCCCGGGTTCAAGTGATTCTCCTACCTCAGCCTCCTGAGGAGCTGGGATTACAGGTGCCATCATGCCTGGCTAATTTTTGTATTTTTAGTAGAGATGGGGTTTTGCCATGTTAGCCAGGTTGGTCTCAAACTCCCGACCTCAACTGATCCTCCCACCTCAGCCTCCCAAAGTGCTGGGATTACAGGCGTGAGCCACTGTGCCTAGTCAAAACCAGTCAAGCTTCTACTTCCACTTCCTCACCTCCCATTCCAGCCTCAACTCACCAATGTGTGGTTTCCCATTTCCTTAAAGTTTCAGTTTAATTACATGCCACTTAGCATAAGTGACTCCATTTTGGTTTGGTCTTTGGGGCTTGGTGCAGGAGTACAGTTTAAAAAAATGGCTTCCCGTAATTTTATGTAACAGAGTGAGGTAGCGTTTTCCCTTCCATCTCCCACCTGCACCCCAGGCAAAGAGGATGGAAGGTGCTGCCGCTTCTCTTCATTGTGAAAGGGCTTCCCACAGGTTCCCTTGGAGTGCTTGACATGTGTTCCCTGAAGTCTGAGGAGAAAAAAGAACTAGTACTTGACCCATACCTGAAAGGAATAAGGACCCAAGGCTGGAGGTGCCTGGTGGCAGAGATAAAAGAGGTGGCTGTGTTGGAGCAAGCCCTGTTTCAATGGTAGGCAGCAGGGCAGGCAACAGACAGGTGTGGGTCCTCAGGAGGGAAACAGGACTCCTGCCCAAGAGGCTCCCTGCCAAAGGTAAGCAACCTCAGCAGAAACGGGCTAGTACTGTTGGATACTGGAGCTGAGAAGACATGGACCATGAGCAGCCAGCTGGAGGAGAGGTACTGCCAGCATTGAGTGAATTGACATCAAATGTCCCCAGTAGTGCAATCTCTAGAGAACCTCATAGTACCCCGCATGAGAGAGTTGGCTCTAACCCCCACCTTGCCAAGGCTAGTTCTCAGCCGTAAGAATCAGGTGAGACCCGGCTGCTGTCCCTCTCTTCCTCTCCTGAGAGGTGGAAAGCATGACCTGAAAGCTGTGGAATGGAGGAGAGCTCAGAAAGGACCCATCACACACCCTGGAAGCAAGTCTGAGCTGAGAGGAAGGAGAGGCTTTCATCTGACATGAAGGTCAGAGCTTCAGTGGTTCCACAGCACTAGACATTGTCATTGCTATTTAGTGACTATTCCTGGAACTAAACATCCTTTAATTTTTTGTTTTTGTTTAAATCTAAGAGTGACTGAGAAAGTTATGACACTTGCCAAAGTTTCTATCCAAAGATCAAGGAGGAATGAGATTTCAGAAATGATTTAAAGGAATAAAGGTAGAAAAAAATCAAGTTGCTTGGATTTCTCATCCAATGAGAGCATCATTGTTTCAATATAAAGGTGATAAATAAAACCTGCTGTCAGGACACTTGCAAGCTGGTCAGTGGAAGATACAGGAGAGAAATTATTACAAAAATTCCAACTCTAATAAGTGCCAAAAAGAGATACGTGGAACCATGAAAAGTGCGTAACTGGCATATTTCATTCTAGATCACTGTGTCAAAAGCCAGTTTCCAGAATGACCAATTTGTCATTTGTGTGTGTGTGTGTGTAAAGCTATTTGTACAGTTTATTGAAAAGCAAATTATGGAGAATGACTTTGACAATCCTTGCAAGGTTTTGCATGGTTTTAATTAGCTTATTTGCCTTCTTAACGGCATTTAAAGACTATGATTTTTGTCTGCCCCAGCTTGATGCTTCACAGCTACAGGGCACTGAGGAAGGAGCGGGGCTCACTGCGGGCAGCAGGGGAGACTAGAGGACAGGAGGCGCATCCTCAGGAGGAAGCTCTGGGGGACAGGGAGACAGCATTGGCTTTTCTTCGCAGATTGGCTTTTGGCCCAATTGGCCTGTTCCCAGCCCTCATATTATTTCTACTGGAGTCCTGCAGGGTAATAATAGCTCTCATTAATTTTATGCCTAGTACCTGTCAACCATTACAAACATAGTATTTCTAATCTTGCAAAATAGGAGATATTATCTCATTTTACGATGAGGAAATTCACGTTTCAGGAGGGTCACTTGCCCTGCATCATGTAACAGTAAGTGCCAAAACTGGGTCTAGAAGCCAGGTTTGTCTGATTCTTTTTTTCTTTTTTTTTTTTTTTTTTTAGGATTTCTTCATGGTCAAGATGGCAGTCATACCATTCTTTTTTTTTTTTTTTTTTGTACTTTAAGTTTTAGGTGCATGTGCACAATGTGCAGGTTAGTTACATATGCATACACGTGCCATGTTGGTGTGCTGCACCCAGTAACTCGTCATTTAACATTAGGTATATCTCCAAATGCTATCCTTCCCCCCTCCCCCCACCCCACAACAGGCCCCAGTGTGTGATGTTCCCCTTCCTGTGTCCATGTGTTCTCATTGTTCAATTCCCACCTATGAGTGAGACGATGTGGTGTTTGGTTTTTTGTCCTTGCAATAGTTTGCTGAGAATGATGGTTTCCAGCTTCATCCATGTCCCTACAAAGGACATGAACTCATCATTTTTTATGGCTGCATAGTATTCCATGGTGTATATATGCCACATTTTCTTAATCTGGTCTATCATTGATGGACATTTGGGTTGGTTCCAAGTCTTTGCTATTGTGAATAGTGCCGCAATAAACATACGTGTGCATGTGTCTTTATAGCAGCATGATTTATAATCCTTTGGGTATATGCCCAGTAATGGGATGGCTGGGTCAAATGGTATTTCTAGTTCTAGATCCCTGAGGAATCGCCACACTGACTTCCACAATGGTTGAACTAGTTTACAGTCCCACCAACAGTGTAAAAGTGTTCCTATTGCTCCACATCCTCTCCAGCACCTGTTATTTCCCGACTTTTTAATGATCGCCATTCTAACTGGTGTGAGATGGTATCTCATTGTGGTTTTGATTTGCATTTCTCTGATGGCCAGTGATGATGAGCATTTTTTCATGTGTCTTTTGGCTGCATAAATGTCTTCTTTTGAGAAATGTCTGTTCATATCCTTTGCCCACTTTTTGATGGGGTTGTTTGTTTTTTTCTTGTAAATTTGTTTGAGTTCATTGTAGATTCTGGATATTAGCCCTTTGTCAGATGAGTAGATTGCAAAAATTTTCTCCCATTCTGTGGGTTGCCTATTCACTCTGATGGTGGTTTCTTTTGCTGTGCAGAAGCTCTTTAGTTTAATTAGATCCCATTTGTCAATTTTGGCTTTTGTTGCCATTGCTTTTGGTATTTTAGACATGAAGTCCTTGCCCATGCCTATGTCCTGAATGGTATTGCCTAGGTTTTCTTCTAGGGTTTTTATGGTTTTAGGTCTAACATGTAAGTCTTTAATCCATCTTGAATTAATTTCTGTATAAGGTGTAAGGAAGGGATCCAGTTTCAGCTTTCTCCATATGTCTAGCCAGTTTTCCCAGCACCATTTATCAAATAGGGAATCCTTTCCCCATTTCTTGTTTTTGTCAAGTTTGTCAAAGATCAGATGGTTGTAGATATGCGGCATTATTTCTGATTCTTGAAGCCACCAGACAACACCATCCTCATCTGTACTGTGGGCTGTATCTGTTTTGCTCTTTTCCTTCACTTACTCATCTTCAAACAGGAGTCTTTAATTTGTTGCTAAGTTAATGTTTATTTTGCATTTTACAGGTCACTTATACATCTCAAGAGGATCTGGTGGAGAAAAAGTGCTTAGCAAAAAAATATACTCACCTCTCCTGCGATAAAGTCTTCTGCCAGCCATGGCAGAGATGCATTGAGGGCACCTGTGTTTGTAAACTACCGTATCAGTGCCCAAAGAATGGCACTGCAGTGTGTGCAACTAACAGGAGAAGCTTCCCAACATACTGTCAACAAAAGAGTTTGGAATGTCTTCATCCAGGGACAAAGTTTTTAAATAACGGAACATGCACAGCCGAAGGTAGCAAGAGACTAGTTTTCAAGTCATTCTATGATATAAAAGGGTATTTGTATGCCATACTTTCTATCAGAAAATAATTCTCTTGTGTATGTTATGATGACAACTCAAAATTTTTTTCTAGACTCTCAATAATAATTGGAGTAATCACTAAACAAATCAGGGGTTGCCAGAATCCAGCCAGCCTTTGAGTGCAGAGCGTGGGATGCTGAGTCCAGACCTTCCTTCAGTGCCGGTGCCACTCCCTGCTGCCCAGCCCTTTAGAATTGTCCCCACCCTCACTTCTACTTGGTTAAAGGGATTATTCCCAGGGCCATTGAGTTGGTTCAGAACCCAGTGAAAAGTCTTCCAGTAAGGTTGGTACTCACATGTAGTCTAGTCAGGCCTCAGGTCCTCCTGTGGCCCCAGTAATTTCTGTTTTTGTTTGTTTTGTTTTTTTGAGACGGAGTCTGGCTCTGTTGCCCAGGCTGGAGTGCAGTGGTGTGATCTTGGCTCATTCCAACCTCTGCCTCCCGGGTTCATGCCATTCTCCTGCCTCAGCCTCCTGAGTAGCTGGGACTACAGGTGCCTGCCACCATGCCCAGCTAATTTTTTGTGTTTTTAGTAGAGATGGAGTTTCACCGTGTTAGCCAGGATGGTCTCGATCTCCTGACCTTGTGATCCGCCCGCCTCGGCCTCCCAAAGTGCTGGGATTACAGGCATGAGCCACCATGCGTGGCCTACCCCAATAATTTCTTTCAACAGCCGTCCCCCCCAACCCTCTCCCCCAGCCCTGACCCCATTGTTCCTAAATATCCAAGGGCCGCTTGAGCCACTGCTGACCTGGGACATACTCCAACCTAGCAAACCCAGACGTCAGACCCAGAGATCTTGTCTACAGTCCCTTCCAGGTGCTTCATGTGCTGAGGAGGCTGGGGCCCTAGCATTCAGACTAGTGGGTAGTTATGATTAGGGATTTCGCTGTCAGTCCAATTGAGTTTCAAGTCCCTCCAAACCCCACCTTGGTTGTTGACAAGCTGGACCTCACTGGACCCCAGTTCCCTCATCTGTAAAATGTGAAGTTTCTAAGTTGTACAATTCTTGTGAAAATTAAATAAAACAATGTATGCAGGGCTCTTCACACAGTGCTTGGCATGCAGAAAGTGCTTGTTACATTTTATGTCTGACAGCAAAGCTTAGGTTCATTGTCTTCTGATAGCAAGTTATTACAGACACTTCATTACCTAAGGAATGCTTAAAACATTCTTTTTAAAGGCACCATGACATATATCAGCTCACAGCAGCCTGTATGTTTTTGAGATGCTGAGTTAAGATGTTGAGATACTGTGGAAAAGGAGGGGAAAAGCTCCCTGTTTGAGCTCATCTATCATCCCTGTTGGAAAGGCAGAAGGCAATAGTGGAGGTTATTTCATCAGTGTCAGACTTTTCTTCTCTTGAGGCATTAAATGCCTTAAATACACGAGAATACATAAACCCTTTCTACATTTTACATTTTCACGGTTGGGCTTACTTTTGAGAGCATGGACTTTGGAGTGAGATCAACTGAGCAAGTTCCAAATCCTGGCTTCATCACTTGGGCCAGGAACTTAACTTCCCCTAGAGGTTCCTTGTGTAAAAATGGGAATAAATAGGCTTTATCCTCATAGGGTTGATGTGAGTATTTAATGATCCTCTATACAGCTGAATAGCACTGCCGCTGACACATAATAAATACTCGTAAAATGATTGCTTACTATTACTTGTTAAAATCGTCATGATGTTCAAAGCTCACTTGACATTAAGTACATTATTATTTTTAAAGACTTTTAATTAAGAGAAAAAAGTGAATGGCTACATATTGCACATTATTTTGTTTTTTTATTTTAGGAAAGTTTAGTGTTTCCTTGAAGCATGGAAATACAGATTCAGAGGGAATAGTTGAAGTAAAACTTGTGGACCAAGATAAGACAATGTTCATATGCAAAAGCAGCTGGAGCATGAGGGAAGCCAACGTGGCCTGCCTTGACCTTGGGTTTCAACAGTGAGCGCTTGTATCAGTGGATTTTCTCATGGCTGATTTAATTGTTCTGTTTGCTTTTTGATTACCTAACCTTTCTGTGTATTAATTTCCATATGTGTAACCTAAGAAAATTAACTATGTGCATCATAGCATTGTTATGAGGATGATATGCATTCATGTTTACCCAACACTTGGAACCCTGCTGACAACAAAGCATGGATAATAAGTCTGTTGAAGTATCTGGATGTGAATCCTTTAGTGATTCTGAGAGTCACAAACACATTCATTTCTGTCTGTCTCCTACTCGTCTACAATTATGTACACTTTTTCACACTTAGTATAGTTTATATACTGTGTGTGAGTATAGTTTATAGTTATATAATATAGTTTATACTATAAACTATACAGTGAGTATAAACTATACAGTTATAGTATAAACTATATAGTTAGGATAAATTATAGTTTATAGTTTTATAGTATAGTTTACTATAATTATAGTATATAAGTATATATACTATGAGTATAGTGTACAAACTATAATTTATATATAGCTTATATACTATAATTATAGTATATATACTTATATATAAGTGATATTTTATTTATTGTTTGGTTCAGAATATCTTCTAACTTTCAATATAATTTCTTCTTTGCCCCATATGTAATTTAGAAGTTTTCTTTATTATAATATTAGTTTTAATTAATACGTTAGTTTGCTTTTGGTTAACTTTGTGTTATTGATTTTCTTATTCTGTGTGGTTAGAGAATATCCCTGTATGATAACAATTTTTTCAAATATTTGTTGAGACTTGCTTTGTGGCTGAGTATTTTTCAAATGCTCCACGTGCAGGGTTCTAGATAATAGATATGTTACTCATTATTAATAGAATTAGCTGCTCTGTTTAGATCTTTCTCTATTTCTTTACTTTCAGTCTTCCTATATCTTTAGATTTTAAGCATGTTCCTTATAAACAGCACATATCTAGATTTGTTTTAATTCAATATTACAATCACTGTTAACTAAAGAGTTTAGTCCATTTACCTTATTATACTTACTTACATTGTTGAATTTATTTTTCCTCTTGTTTTTAGGCTTATTATTTACCCTGCTTTTTGTGTGCTTTTGTCCTTTTTCCTTTTATAATTTCTACTAAATTAAAGATTTTTAAAAATCTTTCCTCTTTTCCACCTCTAGTTGGTTTGAAAATTATGCATTATATTTCTACTTCTTTAGTTACCTTTGAACTTATACCATAAATCATTGATTTAGGAAGTCCTCACCTTCAGTAATAATAGAAAAAAATGTAATTAACCCATCAAGTTTCTAATATTTAGTTCCACCTTATTTTTCTATATCCCAGAAGTTAATCACTATGATGATATAATAAGCCATTATCACTACTATTAAGGCAATGCTTACTCAGATTTACTTCATGTTTACCAACTTCTTGGTTTGTTCTTTCTTGTATCTCACCCCTTCTTTCTGAATTCAATTTTCTTCTTCTTAAACCACATCTGCTAGTAGTTCATTAGTGAGAGTCTCTTATATTGTTAAATTAAGCCATAGGCTATTTCTGAGTTTCAGCAGTTTGTTACCTACAACTTATGGTTCAACCTACTGGTAGATTCTCTCAGTATTTTATTTCTCAGTATTTTGCTCTTATATTTTGCATAAGCTCATGAACAGACATCTCTAATTTTAACCAGTGCAGATTTCCCTTACTTCCTTAAGAACTCATTGAGGAAGAAGATGGCATTTTATATAGTATTTTTAGATATTTTTAGGTTGGTACGTTTTTCAGATTATTAACCTATAAGATTGCCTCAAATGGCTCTTGTTTGTTCTCATGGCACAGCCTCATGATCTGAAATAATTACAAATCTTGGCTTCACCTTGTTTTATTTTTGCTTTTTATCCTAGTTAGTCTAATATTTATATTGTCATTACTGTTCTATTTTTGTTTCCATTTACCTGATGCATCTTTGCTCAATTTTTTATTTTTAACCTATTTTCCCCATTTACTTCTAGAGAGAAGCAAGGAACAATTGAATGTCCTAGAAGAATAGTTCACTGTAAATCATCATCTCTAGGATAATACGTCACTGAGGAAGTCTCTTCTCACAAATTCTGAGCAAATTGAGAAGTCCAAGCAATGGCACACAGATGCCAAAATATCACCTTAATACTGTCAAGGCTGAAGTGAAGATGTAGCTTACTGTAAAAGCAAAATTGACCTACAGGAATTAAACTAACCTAACCTTCCAAGTCTTAGGCAATAATTGAACCAACCAGCTAAAGTTTACAGCATGGGGCAGGCAGAGAGATTCCCAAAAGGAAAAGATGGAAATTTTTTTTTTTTTTTTTTTTAGACAGAGTCTCACTCTGTTGCCCAGGCTGGAGTGCAGTGGCACGATCTCAGCTCATTGCAACCTCCACCTCCTGGGTTCAAGTGATTCTCCTGCCTCAGCCTCCCGAATAGCTGAGACTACAGGTGTAGGCCACCACACCCAGCTAATTTTTGTATTTTTGGTAGAGATAGGATTTTCACCATATTGGCCAGGCTGGTCTCGAACTCTTGACCTCAGGTAATCCACCCTCCTTGGCCTCCCAAAGTGCTGGGATTACAGGCGTGAGCCACCACCCCCAGCCAAGTTTTAGTTAATCTTTACAAAACCCAGTGAGGTAGTTATATTCCCTTTTATAGATGAAGGTACTGAGGCTCAGAGTTTCGGTATCTTGCCCAAGCTGTAACTCCTATATAGAGAATGAGAGGACATTACTCTAGTTTCTTACCTGCTACAGTAGGGTTATAAATGCAAAGTACTAATTATTCTACCATAATGTTTCCTTTATTCTATTTGCAGAGGTGCTGATACTCAAAGAAGGTTTAAGTTGTCTGATCTCTCTATAAATTCCACTGAATGTCTACATGTGCATTGCCGAGGATTAGAGACCAGTTTGGCTGAATGTACTTTTACTAAGAGAAGAACTATGGGTTACCAGGATTTCGCTGATGTGGTTTGTTATACACAGAAAGCAGGTTGGTGGAGTATTTGCCTGTTATTTTCCCTTCCTTGAAGGTTGTTTATTTTACACCAAGCCTATAGTAAACAAATGATTGATGCCTCGTTGCCAGTCACAGAGGCAATAATATAGATTCTGTCAAGTTTTGGGCTTTAGAGTCTAAATTGGTACCTTTCCCCTATTGTACCATTTTGCCATTCAAACATTGCCTCTCTACAGGTTCACATATGGGAAGCAAAGTTGCCTGACTCCCCTTGCTTCATTTGAACATCTGGATTAAAGTTACTGTAGCAAACACAAGTCAATCAAACATAAGAAGAAAGCTCAGCATCTCCTTTAAGAGGGCCAGCATATATGAATTTATTTAAAACCTTTAAGTGACCACATTGGTGCCTCAGTTTTCAGGCATTCATTGAGACTTTTCTCCTCCTTCCTGACACTGGAATATTTTAGTCATACATGTAGTTTTAAAGACCAAACCTATACCCACTCCTTTTCAGTGCTAAAAAAAAGTACCACCAAAATGTAAACAAATGGCACTAACCAAGCAAGTCTTGGGAGTAGGGGTGAGGATGAGTATAGCAGCATGAAAGAAATGGGTGGAAACCAGTGTTTGTCAATGTCAGCACGTACTCTTGATTCCTCCCCATCTCAGCAAATATAGACTTTCACAATTAATACTGACTTTCAGAGATAATAGAAGAGCCTCCATAAGCCAGGTTTGACCTTTATTTTCTGTATGAGTCATATGTACTATGTTGATAATACCAATACGTTTTATACATTTTTTTGAAGTTTAACTTTCTCTTAATGACTCCATTATCCCAAAAATCTGATAAGGATGTCATGCCACCACTCCATAAATAAATTTCACAAAGATAATTCCTGCTTTACAGATTCTCCAATGGATGACTTCTTTCAGTGTGTGAATGGGAAATACATTTCTCAGATGAAAGCCTGTGATGGTATCAATGATTGTGGAGACCAAAGTGATGAACTGTGTTGTAAAGGTAGACATAAATCTAGCCTCTAAATCCTCTAAATTCATTTTTCTGACTAAAAGAGGAAAAGCAACTTTACTATTGAATTTTATATTGTACCTCATTCAACTTTAAGGAATGAAAAAAACCTCTCCTGCTTATGTTTGCACAGCATGCCAAGGCAAAGGCTTCCATTGCAAATCGGGTGTTTGCATTCCAAGCCAGTATCAATGCAATGGTGAGGTGGACTGCATTACAGGGGAAGATGAAGTTGGCTGTGCAGGTAATTGAAAGACTTGGGGTGACTTTTTTTCATTATTGAATCCAGGGATTCTGAAACTTTTCTTTAGGTAAAGTATAATCTTAAGGGGAACATAGATGGGTGTAGCAGTAAGAACACTGAGTGGGCATTTGCAGAACTATGGAATGTTCATCTCCTCATATTTTCATCCGCTAAATATCTACTTGTTATTTCAGAACTTTCTATTAAAAGACGGTCTCACTGCACATACAAAAAATAGACCATTAGAACCAATCCTTAAGTACCCATTTTCCACCTGCAAGTTATTGATAGTTTGCCAATCTTGCTTATCTCTCTTCCAGTTTGTTTGTTTGTATGTTTGTTGGAGTATTTTATTTTATTTACTATTACTTTTTTTGTGATGAAGTCTTGCTCTGTTGCCCAGGCTGGAGTGCTGTGGCACAATCTTGGCTCATTGCAACCTCAACCTCCTGAGTTCAAGTGATTCTCCTGCCTCAGCCTCCCAAGTAGCTGGGATTACAGGCACCTGCCACCATGCCTGGCTAATTTTTGTATTTTAGTAGAGACAGGGTTTCACCATGTTGGCCAGGCTGGTCTCAAACTCCTGACCTCAGATGATCTTGGCCTCCCAAAGTGCTGGGGTTACAGGCATAAGCCACCACACCTGGCCTGTTGCAGTATTTTAAAGTAAATTTTAGATATCATATCACATCATTTATATGCATCTCCAGTGATAAAAACACTATATATATATAAAACCATTCATTCTCTCATTTGTATATCTAAAATCTATGTTAGATATAATAATTCACTATAATAGTAATTCACTAACGTCATTTAATAACAGCCATGTTCAAATTTTCTCAACTATCTCAAAAATGTCTTTTTTGAATGAATAGATTCAAATCAGGATCTAAAAGAATCTGAATGTTCTGTTTGGTTATTACGTTTTTAAAGTCTTCTTTATTCATCAAGAGTTATCTTCCCCACCTCCCTACCCCAATTTTTTTCATACTATTATTATTTTTTTTTTTTTTAGAGAAACTGAGTCGTTTGCCTATAGTATACGTCTATTCTAGATTTAGAGAGACTTGATTATAACCAAGGTTTTGAGCTTCGAGTCAATGACAAATGAACACTTTTTTTTAAGAGCAAGGTTTAATATTTTAGGCAAGAATTCTTTTTATTTTCTTTTTTTGAGACAGAGTCTTGCTTTATTGCCTAGGCTAGAGTGCAGTGGCACAATGTAGGCTCACTGCAACCTCTGCCTCCTGGGTTCAAGGGATTCTCCCACCTCAGCCTCCTGAGTAGCTGGGATTATAGGCATGTGCCATCACGCTTGGCTAATTTTTCTGTTTTTAGAAGAGACAGAGTTTCGCCACATTGGCCAGGCTCGTCTCGAACTCTTGGCCTCAAGTGATCTGCCTGCCTCGGCCTCCCAAAGTGCTGGCATTACAGGCATGAGCCACTGTGCCCGGCCTTAGGCAAGAATTCTTGATGAGTCTTGCATGTATTTCCTGTTACACATAATGTCTTCTTGTCTGGTTGTCCCTCCTCTAGTGATGCTAAGATGATTACTTGATCAGCTTGGTGTGTCCATTTCAAAGTGCCCCACAATCTTTTGCCTAATGGTTTTAGCAGCCTTTTAAATTGTTGCCTATGTCCATTTTGTCAATAGGGCTGTAAAATGGCAATTTCTAATTTTATCATGCCTATTGCACTTATTAACTAGAAATCTATAGAGAGGCAGAATAATGCTTCATTTTTTCCTTTTACTTACCAAGTTTCAAAGCAATGAGTTGGTGCTCTGGATAACCTCCAATGGTGAAAAATATTCCTTATGTACCTATTCTAGACTATACAGACTGACTCTTTGCTTCCATCAGTGCTTTCTGGAGGAAAAATCTCTTTAAGTTATATTTATTCATTTACTTGATGAATATTTATTCAGCTGCTACTGTGTGTGCCAGTCCCTGCTCTAGGTGGTGGGGTTCCATTAGTGAATAACATTTCAAAAATCCCTGCCCCAGCCAAGTGCAGTGGCTCACGCCTGTAATCCCAACACTTTAGAAGGCGTGTTGCTGGGATTACAGGCATGAGCCACTGCACCTGACCTCCTTTTATCTTTTTAAAATCTGTTTCAAAAACACATTTAGCCAACTATCATTGTTACTTCAGTTTACTCTTATTTAGGGATGAGCTCTGCCTTTGCATTTTAGTAATGCTTCTAACTATTAAGTTGTACTAGTCTGAAATTTAATAATTTGTGCATATTTTATTCAAATCAAAATGATCTCTTTGCTATAGTGAGTTTTTTGTTTTTTGTTTTAGCAGCTAGACATCCTACAATTCAAGGTAAATCATTTTTATAATAGAAAAATTATATTACCGAAGAAAACAGAAATAAGGTGCAATGGTTTTCATGATATATGTATAGTATATTGCTATAGTGTGCATTTTTTCCAAAAATTATCCTTTGATAAATTTTTTGTTTTTGTTTTCTTCAGGCTTTGCATCTGTGACTCAAGGTAAAATTTTTATTAAAATTTGGGGATATTAAAAAATTGAAACAAAACTCAGGTTCTTTGGTCTTATATTTTAATGTAACTGTTAATGGAGCATGATATGACCACATTTTAGTAATAACCCAGCCTGAACATTAGTTTAGGCGTAGAGGCCTTTTCTCAGTGTGATAAACTTTCACTCTCACACACCCCATCCACAGCCTGCTGACCAAAACACCATCCAGAGTGGACTCTTCCCTGCACATTTCACCTTTGCCGAATACCTTTCTCTTCATTTTCTCTCAAAATCAAGGTAGCTCCTCAAGAAATTGCCACCTGAATAAAGATAACATCTTTTCATGATAGGCATTTTCTTATTTACTTCTATCAGTCAGATGTCCCCAAATGCTCTAGCTCTTTGGGACCACCCTTTTTAAAAATATTCATGTAAACTGCCGGGCGCGGTGGCTTAAGCCTGTAATCCCAGCACTTTGGGATGCCAAGGCGGGTGGATCACGAGGTCAGGAGATTGAGACCATCCTGGCTAACACGGTGAAACCCCATCTCTACTAAAAATACAAAAAAAAAAAATTATCCTGGCGTGGTGGCGGGAGCCTATAGTCCCAGCTACTTGGGAGGCTGAGGCAGGAGAATGGCGTGAACCCGGGAGGCGGAGCTTGCAGTGAGCCGAGACCGCGTCACTGCACTCCAGCCTGGGCGACAGAGCTGGAGTCATGTAAATGTAAATGTAAAATGACTCATATCCCCAGTTCATATAACGTCAAAGTTCATGATCCTCCTCAGAATTTCTTTCTTTCTTTCTTTCTTTCTTTCTTTCTTTCTTTCTTTCTTTCTTTCTTTCTTTCTTTCTTTCTTTCTTTCTTTCTTTCTTTCTTTCCTTTCTTTCTTTCTTTCGAGACGGAGTCTCGGTCTTGTACTCGGTCTTGTAGCCCAGGCTGGAGTGCAGTGGCCTGATCTCGGCTCACTGCAACCTCCACCTCCCGGGTTTAAGCAATTCTCTGCCTCAACCTCCCGAGTAGCTGAGATTACAGGCACGTGCCACCACACCTGGCTAATTTTTGTATTTTTAGTGGAGATGGGGTTTCACCATCTTGGCCAGGCTGATCTTGAACTCCTGCCCTCGTGATCCACCTGCCTCGGCCTCCCAAAGTGCTGGGATTACAGGCGTGAGCCACCTCCTCAGGATTTCTTAGGATTCCTGAGGGACTGGCTAGCTCAAGACCACCCTTTGCTCTAAATGCCTATTATTTCATTGCATTCTCTCACTTGTCATTTTGCCCTCTGAAGCTGCTGTTCCTCCTCCTCCTCTTCCTCCTCCTCCTCCTTCTTCCTCTTCTTCTTGTTCCTCTTTTCTCTTCTTCTTTTCTCCTTCTTCTTCCATCTCTTCCCTCGTCCTCCTCCTCCTCCTGCTGCTTCTTCTCTATTCCTTTTTTCCCTCCCTCCCTCCTCTTTTCCTTCCTCCTCCCTCCCTAGTTTCAGATCTCAGAGGCAAAGTGATGAGTTAATGATACTCCTCAGCTCCTTATACATGATCATCAGGGGTCAAGCAAGGCCCCTGTCTTGTTTGACTCATTTATCCCTCTTTATCACTATACCTTACTCCCATTCCTCTTCCCCAATAGGCAACCATTTTTCAGTGGTTTAATATGTACGTTTTTTTGTTTGCATGCATTCTTATCCAATGTGTATTGTTATTTTGCAAGCATACATTTTTTACTCACATAGTATTGTGTTGTAGATCTCTATTTCCTTTTTTTCTTTTCACAACTCATTACATTTTAAAGACCTGTCCATGTTACTGTGTGTTCATCTAATTTGTTGCTTCTAACTGCTGTATAAAATACTCCACTGTGTTTATCTTGCACAATTTACTCTCCACTTTCTCAGTAATGGACTTTCAGCCCACAATCATACTGTGATGAATATCCTCTCCTTAAGTATGTGTGGGAGGATTTCTTCGAGGCATCTAGCTGGGCAAGTGTCTTCTTTTGTCTTGCTATAACACAATACCACAGACGGGGTAATTTATGAAGAAAATACATTTATTTCTTACAGTTTTGGAGGTTGTGAGGTCCAAGGTCGCAGGTCCCACATCTGTCAAGGGTTTTCTTGCTCCATCACCCATGGCAGGAGGTTGAAGGGCAAGAGAGCAACGGAACAAGAGGAGTCCGAACTCACTTTTGTATATAACAAGCCCACTCTCACTACAGCTAACCCACTCCTGAGATAACGACATTAATCTATTAATGAGGGAAGAGCCCTCATGACCTAATCCCTTCTTATTAGGCCCCACTTCCCAACACTGTTGTGTTGGGGATTAAGTTTCCAACACATGAACTTTGGGGAACACACTCAAACCATAGTAGCAAGTTGAATCTTAGAGTATGCATATCCTTAATTTGATTACTAGTGCCTGTATGTTCTTTGGCAGTGCTGTTATATACCAGTCCTTACTTCCACCAATAATGCCTGCGGGTTTTCTTCAACCCCACCAACATCAAGCGTGTTTCTCCAGCTGTCAAGTGATGGCATTGTTTATTAACTTCAATTTTTATATTAACCAATGATTCTGAGTTTCTCTTCATGTGCATACTAGCTTTTTAGTTTCATCTTCCTTTTCTCTGTTCTTTCACTGGTTCACATCCTTTGCTCAATTTTATATTTCTTTCATTGTAATCTTTCTTACTGATTTGCAAGGGTTCCTTTTACAGTCTACAAATTAGTCCATTGTCAGTTTTAAACATTACAGATACCTTCTTCCATGCTGTCTCTCATCTGTGAACTCTATCCATGTGAGATTTGTTGAATAGAAATCCATAATTTTTATATAATCAAAGGTGTACTAGCTGTTCTTCTAATACCTAGTACACCTCAGCTTTGATTATATTAAATCAAGTTAGTGCTGTTCTTCTAATACCTAGTACACCTCAGCTACACTGGACTTTCTCATCTTCCTTTGTTGGGCATTGAATGTGAATATTTGAGTCTTCTCTGATTCACAAGCGTGCTTTTGTGAATGCATCTGAGCAGAGCCTCTCTCTACCCCAGAAAACAACTTAGGTGTGTGGCATAACAAACACTCATATGCCTGTCCCAAAGAGAACTTAGCAAATTCAGTGAGAAGACACAGGATTGCAGCAAAGTGACGCTGCCATTCTGGGCTATGTGATCCCCAGCCATATCCTCATCCATGACAGAGCAACATGTTGGTGGGAATTCACCTTCAGATCCCCAGGTCAAAGAAATCTAGAACACAGAAATGTTCTAGAATGGCAGAGCAAAGATGAAAACATCTGGTATAACTTCAAGAAAAAAATCTAAAAAAAAAAAAGAAGATTCTTTTTTTTTTTTTTAACTTCTGCATCCCAGATGCCTAATGCTAACCCATACCTGTACAAACTGAGAGGAGCCTTTTTCATGTCAGCTCAGGACTCCCTTGGCTAGTGCTGATGACTGCTCCCTACCTTATGTTAACACCTTGGGAGGCCAGGCACAGTAGCTCACACCTGTAATTCCAGCACTTTGGGAGGCCAAGGCGGGTGGATCACGAGGTCAGGAGTTCAAGACCAGCCTGACCAATATGGTAAAACCCTGTTTCTACTAAAAATACAAAAATTAGCCGGGCATGGTGACGCACACCTGTAATCCCAGCTACTCGGGAGGCTGAGGCAGGAGAATCGCTTGAACCTGGGAGGCGGATGTTGCAGTGAGCCGAGATCGTGCCACCGCACTCCAGTCTGGGCAACAGAGTGAGACTCCGTCTCAAAATATATATATATATATTTTAAAATACATATTTGATAAAAATATCAAATATATAATATATAATATAAAATTATACATTAGATAATATATAATATAAAATTATACATTATATAATATATAATATAAAATTATACATTATATAATATATAATATAAGATTATACATTATATAATATATAATATAAAATTATACATTAGATAATATATAATATAAAATTATACATTAGATAATATATAATATAAAATTATACATTAGATAATATATAATATAAAATTATACATTATATAATATATAATATAAAATTATACATTATATAATATATAATATAAAATTATACATTATATAATATATAATATAAAATTATACATATTATAATAAATATATAATAAATATATATTATAAATATTTATTTATATAATAAATATATATTATAAATATTTATTTATATAATAAATATATTATAAATATTTATTATAAATATTTATTTATATAATAAATATATTATAAATATTTATTATAAATATTTATTAATATAAATATATATATAAATATTTATTATATAATAAATATATTATAAATATTTATTTATATAATAAATATATATTATAAATATTTATATAATAAATATATATTATAAATATTTATTATATAATAAATATATATTATAAATATTTATATAATAAATATATATTATAAATATTTATTATATAATAAATATATATTATAAATATTTATTATATAATAAATATATATTATAAATATTTATTTATATTATAAATATATTATAAATATATATTATAAATATTTATTTATATAATAAATATATTATAAATATTTATTTATATAATAAATATATATTATAAATATTTATTTATATAATAAATATATATTATAAATATTTGTTTATATAATAAATATATATTATAAATATTTATTTATATATAAATATATAATAAATATATATTATAAATATTTATTTATATAATAAATATATAATAAATATATATTATAAATATTTATTCATATAATAAATATATAATAAATATGTATTATAAATATTTATTTATATAATAAATATATATTATAAATATTTATTTATATAATAAATATATATTATATAATATTTTATATATATATACAAAACACCCTGGGGATGCAGAGAGTTGAAATAGAAGCCTTCCTCTTCTGGGCTGTGCATTTTGCGTGCTCTAACTACTGGAAACTGTGACACCATGAGTCTCAACATTCACTAGTACCAACAGATATCTCTAGTTTGTGCCAGCAAGAATTTCTATACAGTGCATCTTGAGCCTTTACAATTACCTAATTATAGAAAGGAAATAAGATGACATGCCTTGGGGATTTTGTACAGTTCTTTATAAAAGGGAGGATAAGTTTTAAGGCAGAAAATTATAATCAGTGTTTAAATGATTTTAATGATTTCATTTTGACTATAATTAACAACTTTAAACATTGGAATCTTTTGTTTTATCATAGAAGAAACAGAAATTTTGACTGCTGACATGGATGCAGGTAAGCTAACGTTATACTTTTTTATTGGTGGCTCACTGGTTTAGGCTGTAATTTCAGTGTCATTTGCATATATATAATTGATTCAAGCAACAAGTAGTTTTGGTATCAATTTAAATTAAAAAATATAACATTATTATTCTCCTTTCTCTGTCACTTTTAAGAAAAGCAAGCTTAAATGATTCTTGAGAATTGCTTTTAAAACTGGATTAATTCATATGGCTAATTTTGAAATGAAAACAATACTCCAATCATACATAAGCTTTTTCTATTTAAAACGAACTTTGTCAGGTCAGTTTTGTGAAAAAACAAGCAGCTCTCAAGCATGACTCATGACATAATTTTTTGAAATAGAAAAAATAATAGATGTTAATTGAATTAACCATTCTTTCACAATGTTTTAAATCACGGTAATAGGAGACCTTTGAAGATCTGTACCTTGGCCAGTTGTGCGCTAAAAGCCAAATTAAATTAAAGTATTAAGTTCCTGGGAAGATAGCAATTGATTAGAGATTTCTAGTCAGACAGACTTACGTTAAATTCTGACTCAGTTATGTATTAGCTATAAAAACTTAAGAGAGTAACTCAACCTCAAATACAAATTGGGAATAAAATAGCTCCCTGTTTCAGTGGGATTTTTAAATGAAGTTCATGTAGACTTCTTTCTAATTGTCAGTAACCAAAATTAAGTAACAATCTTTAAAAATCAGGCAATGAGTAAAAGATTTAAGGCTGGGCACAGTGGCTCAGGCCTGTAATCCCAGCACTTTGGGAGGCCAAAGCAGGCGGATTACTTCAGGTCAGGAGTTCAAGACCAGCCTGGCCAACATGGTGAAACCCCATCTCTACAAAAATATAAAAATTAGCCAGACATGGTAGCAGGTGCCTGTAATCCCAGGTGCTCAGGAGGCTGAGGCAGGAGAATCGCTTGAACCCGGGAGGTGGAGGTTGCAGTGAACCAAGATTGTGCCACTGCCCTCCAGCCTGGGCAACAGAGTGAGACTCCATCTCAAAAAAAAAAAAAAAAAAAAAGATTTAGCTCTCGAAGCTATAGATGTTAGTCAAAAGGCATTTTCAACAATGGCCCTTTATTTTTACTCAGAATAACATTCATTTTCAGATACTACCTAAGTTGGTTTCACAGTCCTCAGAGCATGAGATCCCTCTTCCTTCAAAAGTGTAAGCAAAAACTTACCATCACACTCTTCCCCCACCCCAGTTCTTAGGATGGGTGAGACCAAAAAAAACCATCTTCTATCCATGTGTTTCACAGTGGGCAGGTTCACACAAATCAGCCCCCAAAGTCTAAGGAAGCTGAGAGGCCAAACAAAGAGGCTGACATGTCCAGTTCCTTAGAAAGAAACATTTAATAGGGACTTACTAATGGAAGCCAGGTCTGTGTCCTGGACAACAGTGAGACAAGATGGTGGATCCTTGTGCTAGTTCTCTCCCGACTCAGAGATTATATACTGTAGGGGAGGGGCACACAGGCTTCAGAGCTAATGGGTAGGAATTTGCCATAAGGCCAGGATTTATAGTAAGTACATGCTCTTATACAAGGAATAATAGATAAACTGGAAATCTCAGAGGCCTTCCCGGAATTGGGGTTAATCAGAAGCTAACATGGCAGATTAGTATCCAAGATGAAGTTGCTTTAGCCTCCATACAACAACGGCTCTTTCTTGGGGGCCTAACTCCTTTCGGTATGCCCAAAATTATTAACAGCAATATTCATTTTCCTTTCTCATCTGGGGCTAAGAAGCAAGTTTACAAAAATTTTCATGACATGTTAAAATATAGAGAGGAAATAAAGGGATATATTTTACTTTCTTCAGTCATCATAAATTCTTTGGAAAATTCAGGTCATAAACTTTGCTCTACCGTGTTTTCTCATGACAAATGCGCCAGACGTCTGCATGCTCACAGACAGAGGAAGGAAACATTGTCACATGTCAAATGGCTAAAAAACACTCCCCAGCCCGCTAACCCACTTGTCCCGGGGTCACTGGCACATCATCTCTCAGGGTTAATAGGATGATTAAATGAGATAAACTATATACAAAGACTCAGTATGGGGCCTGACATATAGAAAGTACTTAATAAGAGTATCACTATGTTAACATTGATATTAATATAAGAGTTCCATATAAACAGCCTCTAGAAAATAAAAACTATGGCTGGGCGTGGTGGTTCACCCTGTAATCTCAGCACTTTGGGAGGCTGAGGTGGGCAGATCACATTAGGTCAGGAGTTCGAGACCAGCCTGGCCAACATGGTGAAACCCCATCTCTACTAAAAAAACAAAAATTAGCTGGGCGTGGGGGTGGGCGCCTGTAATCCCAGCTACTTGGGAGGCTGAGGCAGGAGAATCCCTTGAACCCGGGAGGCGGAGGTTGCAGTGAGCTGAGATCGTGCCATTGCACTCCAGCCTGGGCACAAGACTGAGACTCCATCTCAAAAAAAAAAGAAAGAAAGAAAAGAAAAGACACAGTTTGCCATGTTGTTAGTTTACCCTGATGATTTCAGAATGTGATTCCCTTCTGAGCTGCCACTGCCACAGTGCCTGGACATGTGGCATCCTTTATCAGCTAGAGGCTGGTAAATGTTTAACCTCTTGGCCAGCCCTTTTCTGCCACTAGTCTATCTTTAGGCAGAACTTCAGAGAATCAAGCCAATTTTAATATCAAGCCAGAATTTTTAAATAAGATGAATAGTATGGTTTAGCATTCAAAATAATTTACTAATGATTCCAGCCTGTCTTGTACTGGCTGTGACTCTCCTGTTTTTGTGGCATAGATAATCAAGAAGTGTGTTAAAAACGCTAATGGGTTCAAGATAATAATGATGTAATCTCTTCCTTTCTTGAAGAAAGAAGACGGATAAAATCATTATTACCTAAACTATCTTGTGGAGTTAAAAACAGAATGCACATTCGAAGGAAACGAATTGTGGGAGGAAAGCGAGCACAACTGGTAAAGTCGCATGAAAAGTCACAATGCAACTGCCCAGAAACAGCCTAAATTTGGGGGGAAAGGGGCAGGAGGATGATGTAATTATAAGAGACTGGGAGTCTTGCCATGGAAATATCTTAGGGCTGTTTGTATCGCTATCTGTTAGAATGGCAGTGACCACACAAATGTCTTTTACAGGGAGACCTCCCATGGCAGGTGGCAATTAAGGATGCCAGTGGAATCACCTGTGGGGGAATTTATATTGGTGGCTGTTGGATTCTGACTGCTGCACATTGTCTCAGGTAAAAGATGTCTTCAGTAAATTTTAGATTTCCCGAAACAATGAAAGTGAGTAATAGAGATTGTGGCAGATGATAAAGCATATCTGAAAAAGGTACTGACAAACTCCACTATATTAATTGCAAAGTATCCTCTGGTATTCGCGACTGGAATTCCAGAGGCTAATCCCGTAGAATCTACTGTGTCCTCCACAGACCAAAATTGCTGATCTCACTGGCAAAGGCAGATCAAACCCATAGCTGCCAAATTACTTCACCTGGCTTATTTGCAAAGTGGGAGAGTGGGTAGGTACTACTTACATTTTGTTCTCCACTGTGGCCTACCTATATTTTCTTTACTGTGTGGCTCAAGAGTCATGTTGCCATACCTAGTTTTGATTACTTGTCACCTAAAATGCAATGACTTTGCATTCCTCTTAGGATAAGAATTGAAACAAAAATTTTAACATGGCCCATGAGGCCCCATGTAATCTGACCTCTGCTAACCTTTGCCAATCTCATCTTGCCCCACAGAGCCACCTCCTGCTCCCTGTTCCACCACCTCTACTCTGGATTGCTTTCTGCTACTCAAGTGCATTTGCCCCCTCCTGCAAAGGGACCTTCATATATTGTTTCCCCTGCCAGAAATGATCTTCCTTACCCTTTTCCCTACTTAGTCGTACCCTTTGTTCAGATCTCAGCTCAATCTTCACTTCCTTAGGGAACCTTCCCTGACTCCCTTAAGTCAAAGCCCTCTTGATAAGTTCTTAAAAGCCCACATACTGTTCATTCCTCTCACTTTTCATGGTAGAACATATTATTTTCATCAGTGTGATGATCCATTTACTGCTGCATCTTTCCCTAGATCGTGAACTCCATGAAAGCAGGAACTGTTTCTGATTTTGCTCATTTCTGCATCTCAGTGCCTAACACAGTGCCTGGTACATATAGGTTCACACTAAGTATTTGTTGAATAAATTGACTAAATAAATAATATTTACAACCTGTGATCCTGAAAAACAATCAAAATTAATATGAAGGACAGTATTCTTGGAACACTATAAACAAAAGCTTCCTGAACATCTCATTATTTCCTAGGACACCACCTTTTAAGGTGGTTACCTGAATCACCCTTATGTAAAGATAAATTCTGTTCAGTTAATGCTGTTTGAGAAAGCAGAAGTTATATAGATCAGGGATACTCTACCCCTGAGCTGCAGACAAGTACTGATCTGTGGCCTGTTAGGAACTGAGGTGAGTGGTGGGCGAGCATTACCACCTGAGCTCCACCTCCTGTCAGATCAGCAGCAGCATTAGATTCTCATAGGAGTGCAAACCCTATTGTGAATTGCACATGTGAAGGATCTAGGCTGTGCAATCCTTATGAGAATCTAATGCCTGGTGATCTGAAGTGAAAGCGTTTCATCCGGAAATCATCCCCTCCTCCCCCGAGTTTTCCACAGTTCCATGGAAAAATTGTCTTCCACAAAACCTGTCCCTGGTGCCAAAAAGGTTGAGGAACACTGATATAAATAATACATTTTTTGAAAAGATTTCCATTAAATTGTTTAAAAATAAGTTTTATTGCTTAAGAAAAATCCATTCTGTAAAATAATTTATTGTTTGGAAATGTTAGACTATGAGGTCATAATTTAGCACCCTACTTCTAATCAAACCAAAAAAACTAAGCTATAATACTTTGCCGAAGTGACTCTATACTGTTCCATGAGAAGATGATGGTAGATGCCTGATTTGCTTGAAACTATGAGTTGAAAATTGATAAGAGGCCAGGTGCGGTGGCTCACGCCTATAATCCCAGCACTTTGGTAGGTTTGAGACCAGCCTGGGGAACATAGCAAGACCCCATTTCTACAAAAAAATTTTTTTAAATTAGCTTAATGTGGTGGCACATGCCTGTAGTTCTAGTTACTAGGGAGGCTGAGGTGGGAGTGTCTCCTGAGCTCAGGAGTCAAGGCTGCAGTGAGCTATGTTCACACCACTGTACTCCAGCTTAGGCAAAAGAGTGAGACCCTGTCTCTGTTTTAAAAAGAAAGAAGGGAAGAAAGAAACTTGATATGAAAATGTAGTGAAGCATAAGAATAGGCAATATTTAGCTCATTCACCATTTCAACAGGATTTTAAAACAGCTACTATGATCCAGATATAATAGTAGGCACCAGGGCTGCACAGATGAATCAGACCCCATCTCTGGCTTCAAGCAGCACAGTCTAGTGTGAGGAAAGGCATGTGAACAAATAAATACAATGCAATGTTAGGATAAAGTTAGTCTTAAGGGTCAGGATAATGACTGCTGTGGCCTTTGCCCTGGGAACCTCTAGGGTTGGCAGAGTAATGAGTGTGTGTGGTCCAACTCCCTAGTTCCTTAACTACATTTATGGCAAGATGCTGTCTGGTCTCTGCTTAAACACCTGCAGCGACGGCACACTCACTCCAGAGGCAGCAAACTCATTCCACTTTTGGGCATCTCTAGTTGTTAATGTGTTCTTTATGTTCCTCATATTGAGCAGTTACATGGATTATTCCTAGCTTTATCATTTACCATTGACCTAATTCTGCACTAAGTAAATTTAATCTCATTGCTTCATGACAGCAAGCATTTACAAAATTCTGGGGAAATGAAAAAGGTTTTTAAAAGGGAAAAATATAAAAGTGAAGTGTCAGAATTCCTATTTATATTTTTTCTCAATATATTTTATTTCCTTTTTTTTTCTGTTATAGAGCCAGTAAAACTCATCGTTACCAAATATGGACAACAGTAGTAGACTGGATACACCCCGACCTTAAACGTATAGTAATTGAATACGTGGATAGAATTATTTTCCATGAAAACTACAATGCAGGCACTTACCAAAATGACATCGCTTTGATTGAAATGAAAAAAGACGGAAACAAAAAAGATTGTGAGCTGCCTCGTTCCATCCCTGCCTGTGTCCCCTGGTCTCCTTACCTATTCCAACCTAATGATACATGCATCGTTTCTGGCTGGGGACGAGAAAAAGGTATATGTTTTACAGTTTGTTAATCAGAAGCCATGAGTTGGAAATGAAAGAGAATAGAAATGTATAGGAGCTAATTTCCTAGCACTCAGAGAGAAGCATAACATCATATCCAGAAAAGTAAACATCCAGCCATGGCTGGCTTCATGGGTTTGCAGCATGTGCAGCTGCCCAGCACCCCATGCTCAGAAGGCCCTGAGGCTTGATTTATTGCTGTGTTGTCACCAGCATGAAATTCTTCATAATTTTTGAAATGGCCCCATTCCACATTTCCATTTTTCACTGGACTCTGCAAATTATGGAACCAGTCCTTATCTAGGCTTTCAAAGGTCATATATATTCTCTCTATGATCCTGTGGCAAACTTTGAAGGGTAGCCATTCACCAAGAAAAAAATATAGAGACAGGGAGACATACAGCATGGACTGTTTGGATTTGTTGGGGAGATGTGGGTAAAAGATAAAAAGGTTTACAAAGGGATAGCCTTGGTGTATGTTGAATCGCTGATGCCCACAACCCTCCTTCTCACTCCCCTCCTCCCTCTTTCCCTATTCCCCAGCACCTACCCTCTCTACAAAGAAAAAAAGAACATAAGGAATTCATTTTTTGAACTTCTAAGAAGACTTGTGGTGAACACTTCATACGAATAAAAGATGTGGACACTCAGAGACAAATTCTTAGAAAGATCTGCTGAATTAGAGATTAGATTAGAATTAAACTAGTCAACACCTTTCCCTTCATCTTGAAGATTTAACCTTGGGCTGGGCATAGTAGCTCATGTCTCTAATCCTAGCACTTTGGGAGGCCGAGGCAGGTGATCACTTGAGCCCAGGAGTTTGAGACACTGTCTCTACCAAAAATTTAGAAATTAGCTGGATGTGATGGTGTGTACCTGTAGTCCCAGCTCCTGGAGGTTGAGGGGGGCTGAAGTGGGAGGATCACTTGAGCCCGGGAGGTTGAGGTTGCAGTGAGCCATGATTGTGCTACTGCAGTCTAGCCTGAGTGACAGAGCGAGACTCTGTCTCAAAACAACCACAAGCATAACAGAAAAAAAGGAAGATTTAACCTTAAAATTTAGCTTCCTTTCAACATCTTAAATTCTCTTTGATAGCAGAAACTCTAAGTACCTTCATTGCATTGGTCTTTTAGACTCATATTCCAACACATTCATTATAATTGCCACATTGGAAGGTGTAAAATATATGTAGAAATTAATCTGGATTTGTGGTATGTCTGAATACCTAAAACTTCTAAAACACCAAATTGTATTAGGAATTAATTCATCAAGAGAGTATTGTGTCCTTATACTTGTTCTGTTTTTTTAAATCTTTTATTATGTGCATTTACAAGTATACACAAAAATAGAGATTAAAGTATAATAAACCCTTACTTATCCATCATCCAATTTTCACAGTTATCAGCATTCTGTCATTCTTGTTGTATCTCCCCATATTAATTGGGGTCTCAATGGAGCAATTAGGAAGATTTATTTATAAAAGGGTTCATTACAAAGATATACGTAGGGGGTTGGGGAATCACAGGGGCTACGCAGGTACCCAGGACTAGAGGTACCAGAGCTGTCTTAACTCCTGGATCTGAAAGCGGAAGAGTAGGAGAAGTTACTAGATGGAGAAAAAGTCTCAGGTAGAGCAGGCTGCCTTGAGAGAAGCAAGGATCTTGAGCTGAAGGGTATAGCCAGTCCCAATCTCACTAGCCTACCTCTTTCCTTCCCTCCCTCCTGCTAGGGTCCTCTTTGTCTAAAACCACCTGGGAACCAGAGGCCACAGGTCAGGCTCTTAGGGCAGGATGCACGGCATTGAAGGGTGGAGAATGGTCTGAGGCACATTCAGGAGCTATTCAACATATTCCCCCACATATTTTTCCTGGAGTATATTAAACCATATCCCAGATGTCATATAATTTCACCCATGAATACTCCAGTATATATCTTCACCAGATAAGGACACAACACCATTTTCATACCCAATAAAATAAAGCCCATGTTTAATATTCCTCATTTATTTTTAAAAATATTTTTATAATCAGGTTATTTGAATCAAGATCCAAACAAAGTCCACACATTGCATTTGGTGGTTATTTTTCTTAAATGTTTTAATCTAGAATAGTTACCCCTTCCTTTTATTTAAAATTTAATCATTAAAGAGAATGGGTAATTCTTATTTTGGAATTCCCATACCTTGAATTTGGCTAATCACATTCTTTATCTGGATTTTTTTTTTTGAGACAGGGTCTTGCTCTGTTGTCCAGGCTAAACTGCAGTGGCACAAACCTAGCTCACTGCAACCTTGAGCTCTGGGGCTCAAGCGATCCTCCCACCTCAACCACCAAAGCAGCTGGGACCACCATGCCTGGCTAATTTTTGTATTTTTTGTAGAGATGGGATTTTGCCATGTTGCCCAGGATGGTCTCAAACTCCTGAGCTCAAGTGATCCTCCCACCCTGGCCTCCCAAAGTCCTGGGATGAGCCACTGTGCCCAGCCTGATCTAGCATTTAACATGTTCCCTTATTCCATGTACTTCATATAAACTGATAGTTAGATATGTCCTTAATCAATGATCAAAGGTTTAACACATTTATTAATAATGGTTTAACACATTTATTGAGGATTTACTATGTCTGCAAGATAGCAATGCTAAAGTGCTAGGATTTCACTGATGGAAAATATGGACCCAGTCAACAAACAAGGGGATGAATAAGTTCCATGGCTGAAAGATGAAGTCCAGCTCTCAAGGTGTTTACTGACCACCTTAAAGTCTAGTAGTTAAAATTCTGCCCTTTCGCTGCCTCAGCTACCGTCGGAGAGCTGCCTCAAGAAGCTTACAAGAGTGCCAAGGCACAAACTATCTCCTGGGCCATTAAGAATTGCTCACAGTTTTAAAGGCTTTTCCCAAATTAGAGGAAATAAGAAATTACTATTTTTAAAAAAGCTCTTGTTCTAAGGAAGGCAGGTGTCTTGAGACTAACTTGAAGTAGAGCTTAAAGGAAAAAAAAAATAAACTCCTTCCTGGCTGGGCACGATGGCTCATGCCTGTAATCCCAGCACTTTGGGAGGCTGAGTGGGGCAGATCACTTGAGGAAGAAAATCTTAAATCCCCTTTTAAATAACTTCAAATCACTTAGGAGATGGATTTTTCTTCTCAGACACACAAAAACACACAAACATTGATAACTTCGTATGTATTTCCTTTATTTGAAGTTCTTATATTAAAACATTGTTTTTGCTTTAACAAACATTCTCAAGGAAATAAGGGACTGTGAGAAGATAGGAGGTATTTATGTGAAAAGACCTTATCACTGATTCCTATCCAATTGCCTGACTGAGTTCTGCAACCAAAAGGGAAAGATTTATCTCATTCAACTTAAGGTACCAGCTCTTTATTAAATGAATGTGACTTCAGACCATATGTTCAATAGTCCCCCTTGACTATCCATCCAATTTTAGAAATAGACATATGATATGATTAAACACGCTAAGGAAGAGTTCTCAAAAATTTATATATATTGAAAACTATACACCCTTTCATAATCCCAATGGTTTAAGTTATGAGAGTATGTATTTAGATTTCTCATTTGTGACTTCTAAATGTTTGCTTTCTCACTTTGTTTAGATAACGAAAGAGTCTTTTCACTTCAGTGGGGTGAAGTTAAACTAATAAGCAACTGCTCTAAGTTTTACGGAAATCGTTTCTATGAAAAAGAAATGGAATGTGCAGGTAAGTGCCAAGTGGTTTATCCAAGATGTCAAGATGTATGTATTTCCCCTATCAAACATCTCCTCCCACCACATCAGCCCCCATGCTTTGGGCCCTAATTCCCTCCATTTGGCCTTCTGGCTGTAGCACTCTCAAACTCTTTCAGTCCCTTCCCTGTAGCTCAGGTTTCTTCCTCTAATACTATGAGGAAAAATCCTCCTTAAGCGATTCTATAGCAGCACAGCAAGGTGACTAAGAGCACGGCCTCTGGAACCAGACCTAGATTTATATCCCAGCTTTTACTAATTGCTAGTCATGTGACCTTGAGCAGGTTTCTTCATTTGTAAAATTGAAGATCATAGATAAGGCATCTGAGATGCAGAGCAGTTACATAATTTGTCCAAAGTCTTACAGACAAGAGGTGGTACACCCAGGATCAAAACTAAATTACTTTTAAATACAAATTCAAGTTATCTCATCTCAAATGAGATGAGATTTACTTCCATTTGGAAGTAAATTTTTCCCTCCATGGAAATCACAGCGCATTTCTTACGCCACGGACTCCTTTGATAACATGGTTAAGCTAATTCTACTGCCCAATACAACAATAGCAGCTCCTACTTTTGGAGGTGATACAGAGGCAGGCAAAGTACCAGCCAGTGTAGTGCATTTAGGTGCTTTATTGAAACCATTTCTAAATGGTGTATTACTGAAAAGGCAGTTATTGACATCCTATAACTTACTGGTTACAGTGATTTAAAAATCTCAGAAAATCATGAGTAAGAAGAAAGTGTCCTCCCATCTTGAAATGGAGTTCAGGATTACAGTGGACAAAATAGGTGAATAGCACAAAATCTCCCAAAAGGGAGTATCATGGTCAAGAGGACAAGCTCTGAGGTGTGGTTGCCTGGGTTCAAGTCCAGGCCCTGTCGTTTGTTAGCTGTGTGACCTTAGACAAGTTAAACTCCGTGTCATAGTTGTCTTATGTATAAAATAGGGGCAATAATGATATTTGCCTCATAGGGTTGTGGTAAGAATGAAGACAATGAATGACTAATAAATATTTAGCACTCAGTAAGCACTAGGCAGTCCCATCATTTTCCTACTCAGCATTTGATGCAACTTTCAGGTTGCAATCTCATCTCAGTACTCAGTCGTATAAAGTAGAGAACACAGGAAGAACATGCTGAATTGGGGGAATAAATAGAAGACTCGTAAAGAATTTTCCAAGCTGCATCTCTGCAACTCTGCAAGCCCAGCCAGGGACTCTAAGGAGAGCCCATGCTATTGCTGTCAGGAAACTGTAAAAAAGCCAAAGTTGTTAAATGCCATGGAGGAGGCATGGCAGCCTTGAAAAATGGAAGGAAATGTGTGATTTTCTCTTTCACATTTCTTTCTTAGGTACATATGATGGTTCCATCGATGCCTGTAAAGGGGACTCTGGAGGCCCCTTAGTCTGTATGGATGCCAACAATGTGACTTATGTCTGGGGTGTTGTGAGTTGGGGGGAAAACTGTGGAAAACCAGAGTTCCCAGGTGTTTACACCAAAGTGGCCAATTATTTTGACTGGATTAGCTACCATGTAGGAAGGCCTTTTATTTCTCAGTACAATGTATAAAATTGTGATCTCTCTCTTCATTCTATTCTTTTTCTCTCAAGAGTTCCATTTAATGGAAATAAAACGGTATAATTAATAATTCTCTAGGGGGGAAAAATGAAGCAAATCTCACTGGATATTTTTAAAGGTCTCCACAGAGTTTATGCCATATTGGAATTTTGTTGTATAATTCTCAAATAAATATTTTGGTGAAGCATACAAGTTTTATTTATCAGAAAATTTTATTAAATTATCTCAATGCGGGAGTGATTTATTGACTGAAGTTACAACTAATTGAATAATGTTGGACTTACATAAGGTTGGGTTCAAATCCCAGCTCTATCACCTACTATGCCCTGGACAATTTATTGTCTTCTTTGTGTCTCCTTTTCCACCTATAAAATGGAAACTGGAATTCTGTGAAAATGAAACTACATACTTACATAAATGTTTGGCATAGTACCTGTCACAGGGTAATAACTGACTTCACAGCTCTTGTCCCATTTCCCTGCTTCCTCTTTATTTCTTTCTCATCTTTTCTCTCTTTCCTTCTTTCTTTCTCTCTTTCTCTCTCTTTCTTTCTTTTTCTCTTTTCTTTCTTCTCTTTCTCTCTTTCTTTTTTTGAGGCAAAGTCTCCCTCTGTTGCCCTGGATGGACTGCAGAAGTGCCATCATAGCTCACTGCAGCCTTGAACTCCTGGGCTCAAGCAATCATGCCACCCCAGTCTCCCGAGTAGCTGGGATTACAGGTGCACACTACCATGCCTAGCTAATTTTAAATTTTTGTAGAGAGGCATCTTGCTTTGATGCCCAGGCTGGTCTTGAACTCCTAGGCTCAAGGGATCCTCCCACCTTGGCCTCCCAAAGTGCTGGGATAACATGCGTGAGCCACCACACCAGGCCCCTGCTTCTTTAAGTATTAACATTTCTTGAAAAATTAGCCTTTGCTCCCCCATTTCACAAGCATTCCTTGACCCTCTCTCTAAACCTATCCACAGATAATTCAATACAACCACCTACCTCCATGGTGTCAGACCTCACAGTCACTTCTGTTCTCATCGCAGCAGCATTAGCCCCTCAGGGCATCACACTCCTCCCTCACTGCTGTTCTCAGCCTCTTCCTTCTGGTTGCTTCTCTCACTTTGCCTTTCCCTGGTAATCTCATCTAGACTACGTTTTAAATCCTGCCTACAGTCCGGTGACTCACAAATCTGGATCTTCAGCTCTGACCTTTCCTAGAACCTCAGATTAGTATATGCCACTGAACACTAGTATATACCATTGCCATGTGAATATCTAGTAACATTTCAAAAGAAAAGTGGTCAACCCAAACTCAACAGTTGCACTTTCTTAACCTACAGAAAATAGCACCCCCACCCGACCCCAAGGCTATTGTAGGTGCCCAGTCTCCCTCTGTCACACCACCTACTTTAATCTCAGCATAGTACTTTTCTTCCCCCAGTGTATTCTGTTTTGATTGGGTTGTCTACCTCTTCTCAACACTGTCTCCTCCAACTACAACATAAGACACATGACAAGAGAGACCTCATTTGTCTTCCTTCTGGCTACATCCCTACCACTTGCCTCATAGAGGCTGCTCAGTGAATAAACATTAGCTACTCTTTTTTTTTTTTTTAAGCACAGCTATCTTTATCCTGAAGACAGACATATATGTTTCACATAAATATTCCCTTTATTATTTTATTTAGGGCCAGTCTTGGATAGATCCCTACTGATTTAATAATATAAATACCCATTTTTACATATATTCCAAAATCAGTTACTGCCCAGATTTTCTTTTAAAAATTGTGGTAAAATATGTATAACATAAAAGTAACAATTTTAACTATTTGTAAGTGTAAAGTTGAGTGACATTAAATACATGCCCATTGTTGTACAATCATTATCACCATCCATCTGCAGAAAATTTTCATCTCCCCAAATTGAAACTTCATATCTATTAAACAATAACTCACCACTCCTCCCTCCCATGCTGCCCAGATTTTTCATCCATTAAATTCAGGAAAGTATTTGGTTATTTATTGCTGGGAAGTTCCCCTTCCAGTCTCTCATGCTGTTGCCGTCAGACAGGATTGGACCAGAGTTATCACGAAGGCTTATTCACTCATGTGTTTGGTGCCTGGGCTGGGCGGACTTAGACAGCTGGGGCTTCTCAGATATGTCTCTCTGCACTCTCCCCATGGGCTCTTAACATGGCAGGGCCGGGGGCACCAGACTTCCTACATAGCAGCCGATGAGCCTCCCAAGAGAAACTGCAGAACCTGCATGGCCTTCTCTAACCCAGCTTTGGAAGTCCCTTAGCATCACAAAGACCTGCCCAGGCTCAAAGGAAAGGAAATAACCCATCTCTTGATGGCGGCAGGGAGGAGGTGTATCAAAGAATTTATGGACATATTTGAAAACCACCTTGTCCTGACTCAGCAATCCGGGAGCAACGCAGCACCTTAGAATATGTCTGTGTATGAGATAAAAAGAGAAAAGTGGCTGGGCGCAGTGGATCATACCTGTAATCTCAGCACTTTGGGAGACCAAAGTTGGTGGATCATTTGAGGTCAGAAGTTTGAGACCAGCCTGGGCAACATAGCAAGACCCCATCTCTATCACACACAAAAAAAGCTGGGAGTGGTGGTGCACATCTGCAGCCCCTGCTACTTGGAAGGCTGAGGTGGGAGGATCATTTGAGCCCAGGAGGTTGAGGATGCAGTGAGCTGTGATTGCAGCACTGCACTCCAGCCTGGGTGACAGATCAAGACCTCGTCTTAAAAAAAAAAAAAAAAAAAAGAAAAGTACTCCAGTGCTACAAGGTGGGAAACCCAGCATATAGGGCATCCTCAGCCAATCTAGGAAGGGGGCCCCCAAAAGGGCCAAGCCAGTCTGCACAGTGACCTAGCATCTGGCAGCTTCACAGAAAAGTAGACCAGGGTCAAGCCTTGAAGGGTGAAAGTCAGCCCTCTGAAGCGACTCTATGTGACAGAGACCAGGAACAGCAGGAGTGAGATGACCTGACTCCAAGCTTCTCCTAGTTTAGAGGTCTGTCTCAGCGCTCCTAATTCCAGACTACAGAAGCCAATCTAACTGGTTTAATGAAAAAATAGATTTATTCAAAGATATTATGCAGTTCACAGAATTTCCAAAAGAGCCAGAGAATTGGAGTCTACACATCTGGAAATAACGCTCACAGACCACACTGCAGGACTGCTCCATCAGAGACTACCATGGCCACTAGCATGGGTCCCAGTCTCCACGTACAGCTTGTACTGCAGAGCCTGGGCACTGGACATTGCTGCTTCTGTGAGCTCGCCTGAAGGTGGCCAGGGACACAACTCATTGGATGTGGAGCTCTGCCATCGTCTTATATTTAACCCTGGTTTCAGAGCTCTCTGTCTTACAAGAGAAATGGGAAAATAAATTATGCGGCTGCACCTTGCCAGGTACAATGGTAAGGAAAACTAAAGGGAGATCTAGAAACCAGCCTGACATATTAAAGAGGGCTTCTGCAGAGGTGAGCTTAGTCTGAATTATGGAAGAACTTTCCAGGCAGATACAAATGCAAAGGCCCTGCAGTGTGAGGAGCTAACCACACACAAGGATGGAGAGCAGTTCATAGTGACTGGAGCCCAGGGTGCAGCTAAGGAGCTGGAGAGGGGGAAAGGCCATACCAGGGAGAGCCTCATACCAAAGAGTTTGGACCATTAAAGGATTCTAGGAAGTTCAAGCTGGAGACAGCAAGGAAGATGTATTGGAAGTGGGTGAGAGAGGGTATGGAAGATGGTTAAGACACTCTTGGAGTAATCAAATGAAAAATAATGAAGGTAGAAACTAAAGCAGGGATAAAAAGGATGGCACTGACTCTAGATATGTTGAGTGAAATAGATGGCATTTGGGGACAAATAGATTACAGTACTAGGGAGAGGGATTTGAGACTAGGATAATTCCCAGTCTCTTAGATGGTGAGGTGATTGGTGTTGCCACTGAGTACAGAAAGGAAGGAAGTAGAGGAATGGAATCAGATTTAGACAGTTAGGGATATTTTGAAGTTGTGATGTCTAAGGAAGCCCAGTGAAGGTGTACAGTACGTGATAGGAAATACGAAGCTGAAAATCAACCAGAGGTTTGGAAGTAGCCAGGAACCCTAATTAGAAGAACTACATACGGACTCTGTCCTGATGGCTTAAAACCCTGCAGTCTCAACTAAGTGGGTTCTTTCCATCCCTCCTGTGTGCCAAGCAATCTTACATTGTGCATACAAAGATACCTTGAAAATATCTTTTTGATCAAATTTTCTTGATGGTAGACCCCCCACCATACCCAAGCAGAGGATCATTGTCTTCAACATATTATGGAACAAGCCCATGCTCATAGATCTGGTGCAGCCATCTCTTGCCCTTCACTTTGTCCCAGCTTGAAAGCTATTAATGCCATTGACTTTCTAGCCAAAGGCTGGAACCTAGTACTTATTTCTCTTTAACTTAAGTTCCCTTTTAGAGATGAAACTTCTAGCCTTGGTGCGGTGGGAAATTAAAGAAATAAAGAAAAATAAAATTAAAAAGAGAAAGAAGTAAGCTTTCCTGTATTAGGCTGACTCATCCCAAAGGCAGTAGCAGGCAAGGCCCAGACCCAGGAAAAAGAGTCTTGATAAACACTATCTAAGAAGCTAGGACACAAAGGAATGTGCTCTGGAGACTCTCCCAGCACTCCCTCAACATAAGGAGAAGAAAAACAAATTTTCCTTTCTCTTATAGTATGAGTTTATAGATTTCTGTTCTCTGTAACTAGCAACTTCAAGCATTCTGTTTTATCTAAGTAGTGGAGTGAAGGTCATAAACTGTCTGAGCAGGCCTGAGATACAGCCACCTGGACGCCATAGTGAAGGTCATGGAATAAGCTGTGCTAGGCACTAAAGGAAAACCTAGATAACTGACATCTGGGTTGCACAGCAACGGTCATGTGTAATCCTGAGTTATGAACCTGTCACAATTTGATTAATTGCTCTGCCTCTGTATCCTTGCTTTCACACCACTGTAACTGTAAGCCTGCTTCAAGCTAGCCCACTCCCTTTTTGAAGTGTGTATAAAAGTCAAGTGCTGTCTTTGTTCTAGGCCCAGTTTTCCAGATGTAAGTCTGAGTACACTCAATAAAGATCCTCCTGCTTTACCCCGAAGTCTCTCTCATCCGCCTGATTCCCGCGACATTGGCACTAGCCATAGATTAATCATTATGGATGGAATTGCTTCACCATGTGGCTTTTATTTTCATCCTGGACAAAAATTAACCATTATGGCTGGAACTGTTTTCACCACGTGGCTTTTATTTTCATCACAACACTGCTGAGGCCATTAGTGAGACATTGGAAAATACTAAAAAATAGAAATTGCTGTTTATCATTAATATTTTATTGATTTTTGTTATTTAAAATAACACAAAGCATTGTGTAATATTGTAGTTTCCAAGCATTCTAAGTTAATGTGGTACGTTAAACCCCACAAATTTTGCATTCTCATCTCATCAATACTACCATGTTTTTCCATGATGCTCATATATATAGAAGAAACCATTTGGTGTTTCTAGAAGAGATCTGAGATCTGACTGCCTATCCTGATTATTGTTCTGGGAAGTTCTATATAGAAAATATAGTGTAGGGCTGGGTGCGGTGGCTCATGACTGTAATTCCAGCACTTTGGGAGGCCAAAGCAGGAGGATCACTTGAGCCCAAGAATTCAAGACCAGCCTGGGCAACACAGGGAGACCCCATCTCTATAATAACAATAACAAAAATTAGCCAGTCACAGTTGTGTACACCTGTATTCCTAGCTACTCAGGAGGCTGAAGTAGGAGGATTGCTTAAGCCCAAGAGTTCGAGGGTACAGTGAGCTATGATCATGCTACCCCCACCTGGGTGACAGAATGAGACTCTGTCTCTGAAAAAAGAAAAGAAAAGAAAGCCAGTCTTGGCCACCCAGAATCTCCCATTCCAAGGTATTTATTAATATATCATTCAGACAAGAATAAGCACAAATATAGTATATTTTATATTTTCATAATTTATTTTGATATTCACTGTAATTGCATTTCTTTTCTTTTCTTTTTTCTTAGACAGACTGTTGCTCTGTTGCCCAGGCTGGAGTGCAGTGGCACGATCTCAGCTCACTGCAACCTCCACCTCCTAGGTTCAAGCAATTCTCCTGCCTCAGCCTCCCGAGTAGCTGGGATTACAGGCACCTGCCACCACGCCCAGGTAATTTTTTTGTATTTTTAGTAGAGACAGGATTTCACCATATTGGCCAGGCTGGTCTCGAACTCCTGACCGTGTGATCTGCCCGCCTTGGCCTCCCAAAGTGCTAGAATTACAGGCATGAGCCACTGCGTCCTGCCTGTAATCGCCATTTCTAATTCTTTTCTTCCTCTGACTACAACTGTGTTTTCTCCCTAGTACTTCAATGAGACTCTTGTGAAGTTCACCAATAACCCCCAAGTTACTAAATCTAGTAGTCAATATCCGGCCCTCACCTTCCTCATATCAGCAGAATGGGTGGTTCTGTCTTTCTTTGACACACCAGAATATAGCACTTTTCCACTTCTGCTGCACTTGGCTGCTCCTTCTTAAGCGCCTTTGTTCTTTTTTCCTTGACCTCCTAAGACTTAGACCTTGCTCTGCTTCTTTGTGTACACTCACTTTTTAGAGGATCTCATTTAGTCCCATGTTATTTATTTATTCATTTATTTAAGACAGGGTCTTGCTCTGTTGCCAGGCTGGAGTGCAATAGCGCAATCTTGGCTCTCTGCAACCTCTGCATTCCGGACTCAAAGGATCCTCTTACCTCAGCTTCCCAAGTAGCTGGGACTACAGGCATGTACCACCATGCCTGGCTAATTTTTGTATTTTTTTTATAGAGATAAGGTTTTGCTATGTTACCCAGGCTGCTCTTGAACTCCTGGACTCAGGCGATCTGCCAGCCTTGATCTCCCTAGGTGCTGGGACTACAAGCATGAGTCACTGCGCCCAGCTAAGCCCCATGACTTTAAAAGCCATTTCTATTCTGACAACTTCCCAATGCGTTTCTAACCTTTATGCTGAACTGCAGACTCAGAATAAGCTTCTTGGATATGGTATGACTGAAATTTATTTTTAAAATTTTCCCGCAAAACCCTCTCCTTCCACAATTCTCCCCATTTCTGACAGTTAGAACTCTCTCTATCCTGTGGCTTAGGCCAAAATTTCAATGCCATCCTTGATTCCTCTTTTTCTCTCATATTCAGTCCATCAGCAAATCCCTTCTGCTCTACCATCAAGTTACATCTAGAATATGACCACTTTTCACACCTCCACTGCTCCTTTCCTGGACCAAGCCATACTTATGCCATACCTAGATTACTGTATCATAACTGACTTCCTATCTTCAGCTTCTGCCCACCACAAAGTATATATAGACAAGCTAGCCACTCTCTAGCAGGAAAGACCTGGAACACAGCTGTGGATTTGCAACTAATGATGTCTGTCATGAAAATAACAGGTTTTGCTGGTTAGATGAAAGTGTCCTGTAAAGAAGGCTCTTTTCAAACAGTTTATGCCAAAATTTGGGAAGAAAAGATGGAAGTGGGTCATCTAGAAGTTACGTGAGATGAGCTGGGCACAGTGGCTCATGTTGTAATCCCAGCACTTTGGGAGGCCAAGGCAGGGGAATGACTTGAGGTCAGGAGTTCGAGACCAGCCTGGCCAACTTGGTGAAACCCCATTGCTACTAAAAATACAAAAAATTAGTCAGGTGTGGTGGCGGGCACCTGTAATCCCAGCTACTCGGGAGGCTGAGGCAGGAAAATAGCTTGAACCTGGGAGGCGGAGGTTGCAGTGAGCTGAGATTGTGCCACTGTACTCCAGCCTGGGCAACAGAGCCAGACTCAAAAAAAAAAAATTTATATGATATGGTAAATCAGAGCATGCATCCTGTGTAGTGGCACAAGGCCCCACAGTCAAAAGGGCTCTGTACTTATTTTAATGCTCTGCTGTTATCACCTTGAAATTCTTTTTTTTTTTTTTTTGAGACAGAGTCTTGCTCTGTGGCCTCGGCTGGAGTGCAGTGGCACGATCTTGGCTCATTGCAAGCTCTGCCTCCCGGGTTCACGCCATTCACCTGCCTCAGCCTCCCGAGTAGCTGGGACTACAGGTGCCCGCCACCATGCCCAGCTAACTTTTTGTATTTTTAGTAGAGACAGGGTTTCACCGTGTTAGCCAGGATGGTCTCGATCTCCTGACCTCGTGATCTGCCCATCTCAGCCTCCCAAAGTGCTGGGATTACAGGCGTGAGCCACCGCACCCGGCCATCACCTTGAAATTCTTAATTTTTGAGCAAGGGGCTCTGTATTTTTATTTTGCACTGAGCCCTACAAATTATACAGATAGTCTGTGGTCAGTGCAGATCCCTGGTATTTAACAGCATCAATTAAGAGGAAAACGTAAACCTTGTAATTACTGCAGCAGAACAACAAATATATAATGATTAAATGTGAAAAGAATGTGAAAATAAAACTTAGAGTCTTGTTTTCTACAAAAATGGTGGTGATTCTCATGGGGAAGACAGTGGAAAGATTTGCTTGAGAGAAAGAGAACAGCTGCATCAAGCCAGAAGAACTGGCATTTGAGAATTTAATCCCTAAGGAGAGATCAGACAAAGAAAACTACGTCTGATTCCTCAGAGTATAGGCTGTAGTTAAGGTGTAAGAAATTAGATGAGATCACAAAGAAGTAAATAAATAGAGAAAGTGGGGGAAAGGAGAGGCTTTGGGTCATAACTGAGGGCTGGAACTAGGTTATTTTATTACATTCTATCCTTTCTTTTGAAAGTCTTGTCCCTGGACTAGGGAGTTGTAAGAACCAAGCCTGGTTTAAGGATTCAGGTGGTGGTATCTCAGAGGTAATCTAGTCCAACTTTCATACTTTGGAGCTGAGAAACCAATGTTCCAGAAAGCTAAGACAATGATTCTAAGTTCCCTTTTTAAAATGTATTGAAATGTGTTGTCTAAAAATTAAAAAATAAAAATATCTGTGGTATTTTGTGAAGACAGAGGCCTTGGTTTGGAGTAGATACTGTCACATGACTTCTCACCTCGACTCTTTTATTGTAAAAGAGGAAGATAATAATACCTTCCAGGGAACATTCTTCCCCCTTCTCCATTGTGGTAGGAATTAATCACTGCCCAAGACTCCTGGTTGAGGGGCTGAGTGAAGTGCAGGCAGTCTCCAGCCAGGAGCTACACCGTTTGTTGGGCTACCCTGTTTGTAGGGAGGAATGCCTTTCTATGTTTCTAACTTGCCCAAAGTCTGCATCCTTGTAAAGTAGTGTTCTGAATGTGAGCGATCATATTCATGAAGTGCCTGGCACATAGTAAGCACTCAATAAAGAGGGATGTAATTTTTATGAACTGTGCACTGAACGTTTATTATAAGCTCATTTAGTTTGTAACAAACACAAAAGGCCAAACCTAGAACTTATTGGTAATTCTTATAGAAAGGACACACCTATGCCCAATACTTACTCACTTTCTTTTTTTTTTAGAGTCTCGCTCTGTGCCCCAAGCTGGAGTGCAGTGGTGCAATCTCAGCTCACTGCAACATCCATCCACCTCCTGGGTTCAAGTGATTCTCCTGCCTCCGCCTCCCGAGTAGCTGGGATTACAGGTGCCCGCCACCACGCCCAGCTAATTTTCTGTATTTTTGGTAGAGATGGGGTTTCACCATGTCAGCCAGGCTGGTCTCGAACTTCTGACCTCAGGAGTTCCAGGCCTCCCAAGGTGCTGGGATTACAGGCGTAAACCACCGCGCTTGGTCTGCCCAATACTTTCAACATTGCTCTGGATCTTACTGTAAAATTCTTGGAAACTGCTGTGATACTAAGATAACCAGATATTTACAACTGATACAAAGTACTACTGCAATAGTTATTTATGGATCCCGCACAATGCTGGGGGCAGGGTGGTAGGTACAGAGAAACAAACGTCACTGTAACTATCAAGTTACAAAATCCCTTGAGTAGAAAAACAATGACTTCCTTAAGATTTATTTTACTTTTTACTGTATTTAAGTTTACACTACTGTTTCTTCCTTACCAGGGGAGAATTTTATGATTTTTATGTTGGCCCATTTTCTTTTTCCGGAAAGTCTAAACTAGCATTTAGCTCGTCCTGATTAGAGTCAGGCACCGCCAAGGCATGGGTTGGCATCTTCCAGATCCCGCTCCCCCAACCGCGGCCACAGCAGATCTGGAGGACCGGGAGAGGACGCAAGGAGGAAAAGCCCTGCTCTGCGAGCTGACAGCCGGACTCTGCCCACATTGCCAATGGAACCACGTCTTCAAGCCGGAAACTCAGCTGGACCTCTCGCAGCGCTCTCTGCGAGGGGGCACAGGGGTTATTTTCTCCGATGTTGTCCACACCCAGAAAAGCTTGTCTCTCGGGGCTACTGTGCTGAGCCCCGACTGGTCAGGTTAGGCCACCGGGGTTAGCTCTGCAACTCTTGCTTCACGGTTAACAGCCCGGAGAGCTTTCTTAAAAAATACCGACGCCCACTGCCACCTGGGACAACGTAATCAGGCTCCCTAGAAAAGGGGCTCAGGCCTGGGTACTTTTTAAGGTTCTCTTGTGAACCAGGACCAAGGGTCTTGGGAGGGTGCCGCGGAGACCACGTGGGCATGGAGGCCCCGCCCCCGTTTCCCGCCCCGCGCGCCCCTCCCCCGGTTCCCCGCCCCCCCCAACCCCGCCCCCGCCCCGCCCCACCCCTGCGCGTCCCGCCCCTCCCGTGCGCCGCTGACGCGCCGTGCTCCGGCGCAGGCGCACAGGGGACGGTTGCTGGCCCAGGTGAGCGGGCGCGCTGGTCCAGGTGAGCGGGCGCGTCCCCGCGACGGCGCTGCCTGCCCGAGGCGGTTCACGTAAAGACAGCGAGATCCTGAGGGCCAGCCGGGAAGGAGGCGTGGATATGGAGCTGGCTGCTGCCAAGTCCGGGGCCCGCGCCGCTGCCTAGCGCGTCCTGGGGACTCTGTGGGGACGCGCCCCGCGCCGCGGCTCGGGGACCCGTAGAGCCCGGCGCTGCGCGCATGGCCCTGCTCTCGCGCCCCGCGCTCACCCTCCTGCTCCTCCTCATGGCCGCTGTTGTCAGGTGCCAGGAGCAGGCCCAGACCACCGACTGGAGAGCCACCCTGAAGACCATCCGGAACGGCGTTCATAAGATAGACACGTACCTGAACGCCGCCTTGGACCTCCTGGGAGGCGAGGACGGTCTCTGCCAGTATAAATGCAGTGACGGTGAGGGGGCACCCGGGCCCAGCGAGGGCTCGTGCTTTCGGGGGATTGGGGTGACGGAGATCCTGGAGGTGTGAGTGACAGATGCAAGGCAGACCTTGACGGTGTCCTTCGGCTGTGGAAAAACTTAACCACTGCTAGAATCTTGCCGTTCTAGTGATTGAGCAAGCTGGGTACAAGTTCGCACCACTATTGTTAGAATGTGAGAGGTCACATTCTAACGGAGAGGTGTACCCCCCGTCCCATTTGCATTGCTTCTGAATTACCTTTTCCCCCCCTCAATTGCACCAAGTTGCCGAAGAACTTACTGACGTAGGAATCATGGGAATAGAGTGGAACAGACTGGTTTTAGCTCATTTTTGCTTCTGTAAATTGGATGAACATGCGAAGCAAACTGAGAATTTAAAAACCATGCCGTATTAACTTTCTCTATAATTGATATTAAATGGTTTTTTTTCTGCAAACCCATAGACAATAACTTGCGACCTTTGTACAGACTTTTGGTGTACTCGAGTGTTGAGAAAGGGTTCCGATAACTCTTCTTTCCTTAGATATCAGTGACCCGCCTCCTCCTCATTGTTGGTTAACGTTAATACAGTTATCTTCATTTACTCTTTTAATATTTTTTGAACTTTCTCTTTGAACCTGAGAATTTGTTTGGTGGCGGTATGAGTACTAATCAACTCAGTATTTCAGGCAGAGATAGTTCTTTTGTAGCACATTTTTGAGTGCTTAAATATTTTAATAGGTCAGAAAAATATTGGACTTTTGTTTGGAAATTGAAAATGTTAAGAGAGCAGTTGGGAGATCATGTTTCCAATAAGATTAGCCAAGGTTAGAGTCTCATTATGCTGGCAGCGGAAAATAATCGGGGATCCAGTGACTTCATTGTTGGAACCTGATTGTATAGGTGAACTTAAAAGGAACTGGTATCATGTAAACCTATGATGCCACATGCTGCCTGCAATTTTCAAGATAATTTCTAGTTTTATGTTAATAGAAGTAAAGGATGAACTGTATCTTGTATACTTTAAAGCGCTGAACAGGTGCTGAGACATGTTGCATTGCTTCTTAAATTTGTGCCTAAACGTTACCACCTAAACGTATGCTTCATGAAGATGTTTTTATTCTTGTAGAACTTGTTCGGAGGATTAAGTGCATAATTTAAGGATCAAATAGTTGCCTTTCCTAAAGCAAATGTTACAGTTTTACTTAGTCATTCCTATTCATTATACAAATATTTGAGTCCCAACTGTGCTTCAGATGTTGTTCTAATTTGAGATTCAGCAGTTAATAAAACAGACAAAAATCTCTGTCCGTGGAGCTTGAGTTCTGGTGAGGGAGAGATGGGCAGTAAACTAGTAAATAAGTAAAATTAGGGGAAGTGTGGAGTCTGATCAGGGCAGACGAGGGGCCATGTTGGAGGCAATTTACTCTTCTAAATGGGTTGTTCAGCAAAGGCCTCACTGATGAAAGAATATTTGAGAAGAAATCTGCACGTGGTAAGGGGAGGGAATGTGGTTATTTGGAGAAACAGCATTCCAGACAGAGGGAATAGCAAGTGCAATGGACCTGAGGAGAAAGGCCAGTCAAGGATGACTCTGAAGGTTTTGGCCTGAGCCAAAGGAAGGAAACGGTTGCCATTTACAGAGATAGGGAAGACTTGGAAGGAGTCGTCTTCATAAATTTATTAGTCTAGGGTTCTAGAGTTTATTTACATTTAAAACATGCCTGAAGTTGAATGAATACCAGCCTTGTTAAAATACTGTTTTAGTCTTTTTATTTTATTTTTTGTTAATATTTTTGAGGCAAGGTCTCCCTCTGTGCCCAGGCTAGAGGGCAGTGGTGTGATCATTGCTCCCTGCAGCCTCCAACTCCTGGGCTCAAGCAATTCTCCTGCCTCAGCTTCCCAAATAGCTAGGACTATAGGCCATGCCCCCACTACACCTGGCTTAATCTTTCTTTTTAATCTTTTTCATCTTCTACAGGCTTCTCAAAATTTACTATTTGGAGTTTAGAGGAAGGTCTCTGGCACAAAAAAACACAAAGGAATTTGAGAATTTAAGAAATGTTATATGCCTCAGTGAAAAAAAATTTTTTGTCTTAGTAAGTACTCTACGTTTAACGGACATGTGGTTTCAAGTCCAAGTCACCATACTGATAGATAATTGGATCTCAATGAAAAAAAAAATTAGGCAGGACGTAATGGCTCATGCCTGTAATCCCAGCACTTTGGGAGGCTGAGGCGGGCGGATCAGTTGAGCTCAGGAGTTCGAGACCAGCCTGGCCAACATGGTGAAACCCCGTCTCTACTAAAAATACAAAAATTAGCTGGGCATGGTGGTGCACACCTGTAGTCCCAGCTACTTGGGAGGCTGAGGTAGGAGAATAGCTTGAACCTGGGAGGTGGAGGTTGCAGTGAGCCGAGACCGTGCCTCCAGCCTGGGTGACAGAGCAAGACTCTGTCTCAAAAATAATAATAATAATAATAATAATAAAATTGCTGTTACTCGAGCAGTCTCTCTGGAACAATTCAACCTTTCCTATATTTTGGAATTCAGGTGACCAAATCAGAACCAAACAGAACAATCCCAAATCTGGAGAAACATGGTGATTAAGGGGTATTTTTAGTTGCACGAAAGAGATCAAGAGAGCTTTAAAAAAAAAAAAAAAGAGTGAGTTAATGGTAGGGAGAGGTTGGTCAAATAAAGGGCACATGTCCTTGCTTTACCTGAGGGACTGGCATTATGGAGACTTGCTCCCTTAGTTTTGGCCATCCTCTCTTGGGTAGGAAAAAGGCCTTATTGAGAGTTAAGTATTTAGGGAAATAAATTTGATGATCCGTTATTTTCTTCAACTTTTTTCTCCCTGACAGCAAGGAAGATTTAAGGAAGAAAACTTTTCGATTTCCTTTGAAAAATAGAACACAAAACTGGCTTGTAAATGTTTTTAGAATGATGAATAAGTCATTAATTAATTCAGTGACGTATGTTTTCTAGGATCCCTCTGGCTGTTGTGCTGAGAACAGAAGGGGTCAAGGGAGTGGGGGAGTAAAAATGGAAGCAGGGTGACGCATGCAGGAGTCCAGACAAAAGACGGGTGATTTTGCTCAGGTTGGTAGCAACAGAGGTAATGAGAAGTAGTTGGATTTTGGATATATTTTGAAGGAAGGACCTAAAAGATTTGCTGATGGCTTAGAAGTTAGGTATGAGTTAAGTCAAAAATGATACCACAGTTTTTGGCCTGAACAACTGGAAGGACAGAATTACCATTAACTGATATGGGGAAGACCGTGGAAAGAACAGTTTTCGGGCATTAGGAAAAATAATAACACATTTGTATGCTTTTGAGAATGGTTCAGTGGAGAGTAGAAATACTGACGAGGGAGAGAATTATTGGAGTCATAGCCTTGGGTAAGTGAGAGGGGGTAGTTTCTAGTACATACTTAGAGAGTTTGGCCAAGAGCATATAGCATAGCCCTGTTAATAGGAACACAGGTAGAGGATATGAGCACTGGTGCTGGTTAAGTGGGTGGATGTTCAAGTTCTCCTGATTGCCTGCTTTTTTCAGTAAAGTAGGAATCCAGGTCATCAGCTGACAGAGAAGATGGGGAATGGGGATGTTGGAGATTTGAGGAAAATATAAAAGTGAACAGACTAGAAAAATAAAGTAATATAAGGACCTTTTGGAGATTAATGATCATGAATACTTAAAGTCTCAAGTGTTTGGGAGTGCAGGTTGGAATCTTACAAAACTCTGCCATGAGACCTTTGTGTGACCCAGCAGACTACTTCTTGTGCTTGTCATCTGCTTCATATTCTGTCAGGTGAAAACAGTTGGTCTATCTGGAAGTATTTGCATCAAATTTAGAAAAAATACATGGAAAATAATCAACTTTGTCTCAGTCTATGAAAATCTTTAGATTTCTGCAGTCCATACAAATGATAAACAATCAAGAGAAGGAGCTATTGCTTAAGTCAAAAATGGAAATTAATGAATAGTCTTTCCATGCAGTTGTACACAGTGGATTTGGTTTGTATCCGCTTACAAATTTTAGAGGACAATGGCCGCAACACATCATGGTGTTTTGATGTTACTCTGATTTTGTTTCTTCCATTATTGAGTTTTTGCTTTATTTGTAAAAACTGGCACCAGTAGAAATGCTAATTTTTAAAATGCTTAGCCATTTATAAAACTATAACAAAATTTAAAATATTAATACATTTGTAACATTGGTGTCTGAATCAACTTAACCTCTAATAAAGAACTGTCTATATAACTTGCCTTGTTCAGAAATAACTATTTTAATTTAAAGGTGAATTTAGAATTTCAAAATACTTTAGAATTTCTCAGGAAACTAGTTACTTCCAAGTTTTCAGTTTTTTGCTGTGGATAAAGAATTATTTTAATTTCATCAAAGAATGTTTCCCATTTTTTAATCTGGTAATTTATTGGGTGCCCACTGTGTGCTAAATATCTTCTAGGTGAGCAAGACTAAGTCCTTTCTTCATAGAAACCGACTAATGTTAATGTTAATTAGGTCAATAAATGCTAGAAAGAGAGGGGGTGCTATTTTAGATTGGGTAAGCAGGGAAAGCCTCTCTGAAGAAATGACATTAGGAGTTTGCCTTGAAAAAAACTAAAGAACCATACACATATGCCCCTTTTGCCATTTACACTGGGGAGCCAAACTTTTTACCAGCATTTATTTCATGGTGTTATTATCCAGTTTTTCATGTACAGTAGATGTTGGCTCTTTATTACTTGATTTTTATCAACTTTTCTTCTTCAGACAGTTATAACCACTAGCCCTGTTTGGCACAGCAGCCTCCTACTTCCTTGTACCTCCATTCTCATTTTTGCCAGTTGTCCTTCTCTGTACTATCTCTTCCTCTTTACTCTCCTATGGTGGGCATGTTTTTAGTTTTTCTGACTTCATTTGTGTCTGATCATTCTCCCATTCAAAGGTAATTATCTCTTATGAGAAAATGTCTATATATGTACACGCATGCATACACATATATATGTATCACTGTCATTACACACATCATCAGCATCAGGAATGTTTTTATAGATTTGAAATCAGAGTCTATGGATTTAGATAAAATACAAAAGGAAGGAAAAATAGAAGTACTGCTGTTGTATGTACATTGAGGGAAGTATCTTTCTGATTAAAAAAAAAAGGCCGGGCGCGATGGCTCACGCTTGTAATCCCAGCACTTTGGGAGACTGAGGCAGGCGGATCACCTGTCAGGAGTTCAAGACCAGCCTGACCAACACGGAGAAACTCCATCTCTACTAAAAATACAAGATTAGCCAGGCATGGTGGCGCATGCCTGTAATCCCAGCTACTTGGGAGGCTGAGGCAGAAGAATCGCTTGAACCCAGGAGGCAGAGGTTGCAGTGAGCTGAGATCATGCCATTGCACTCCAGCCTGGGCAACAAGAGCAAAACTCAGTCTCAGAAAAAAACAAACAAACAAAATAAGACAATTGAGACACATGTCTTTAAAGCCATAGGCCCATATCGGTTGTCTGAGGGTGGTAATCTTTGCTTCTCATGGAACAGGGTGAGGTGCCAGAAATCTCTAGACTGGCAGATGGGAGGGAGGGAGAATGTACAAGGTGTCTAAAAAGTTGGAAACATAGGATAAACATTATGTTTTATTTTCAAATGACACACTCAATATGTTTTTCATTAACCACTAGACACTTTTTTAGATGATATACTTCTAAATTTAAAACAGTCCAGTTGTTAACCTGAACAATATATATTGTAAATACACTATTATTCCTGTTTCCAGACTTTTTGAACATTCTCTGGTGTATTTATTGTACTTTTTTCAGATTAACAACTTGACCTATTTCTTAGTGTGTATCTCTAGATATGTTTCTAAACATTTTGAACAGTTGATTGTCAAAACCCCTGACGAAAGAGAGTTTCATGATGAAGCTTGAGGAACTAGAATGGGCTTCCCAAGAATTAAATGCTGATCCAGCCTCCTTTTCTGTGAAGAGATTTATAGTGTGTTAGGGCAAAGAAAACTATAGATAAATGTATAGTTTCTCATGATACTCCTGTGAGAAAAACTGGTTACTATTTGATGACTTCACGGCTGCTTGGAGAGAGGACTCATCTGTAGTGGACCTCTGTCCTGATTAATATCTGCATCTTAAGTTTGTGAATATCTGGGAGCAACAGGCAACACTGGGTGAATAACTCTAGATTTAAAAACTGCTCAGCAGTCGAGAATGGTGAACTGAAACTAACAAGATTGAATCTTATATACAATCTTATATTTAGACTCAAAATTAAATTGCAGAAGTGCTAAGCCTCTAGCAGTAAGTATTAAAAAGTCCATTTTAGAAAGAACTGATGATTTTTTTTTTTTTACTACTGTCTATGTTAGCAGTCAGGCACAGCTGAAACATACTGTGTTAGGCTGTTTTAATACAAGTACTTTATCCAGCACAAAAGGTTAAAAAGCCCATCTTACCCTACAGTGTTCAGTCTGAGGTGCTGTATTTTAAAGAGATGTGACAAGCTAGAAGTCATCAGTCTTTGGAGGCTGGCTGATGAATGCTCACCAAGCCCAAAAGAGACTCTAGGGCAAACAGCAGGGTTTCTTAACGGATAATCTCCATTTATAATGAATATTCCAAGCCTTCCAAGTCTTCTGTTCATTAATTCATCACATACTTATTGTAAAAATTCATCACAAAGTTATTCCAGGCACTGTTCTAGGCATTGGGAATCCAAAACACAAAAATGTCTGCTTTCGAGGAGTTTACATTTTCGGATGGGGAGACATAATAAAATAGGTAGATTAGTGATATAGTATGTTAGAAGGTCATATGTGCTACAAATAGTATGGTCAGGGAAGACTTGCTGAGAAGGTGAATGTCTTAGTCTGTTCAGGCTGCTGTAACAAAATGCCTTAAACTGGGTGGCTTATAAACAATGGAAATTTATTCCTCAGTTCTGGAGGCTGTGAAGTCCAAGATCTAGCATTTGGCAGATTCAATGTCTGGTAAGAGTCCACTTCCTTGTTCATAGATGGCACCTTCTAGCTGTGTCCTCACATGGTGATGGATGGGGCAGGGCAGCTCTTTAGGGCCACTTTTATAGGGCACAAATTCCATTCATGAGAGATCTGTCCACATGACCTAATCACCTCCAATAGTCCCACCTTCTAATACCATCACATTGGTGATTAGGTTTCAACATGAATTTTGGGGTGATGCAAACATTCAAACCATAGCAGTAAAGGAGAAACTAGTGTCAGGAGAAAGAGCATCCACATACAGGAAGAGCAGGTTCAAAGGCCCTGGGACAGGAGCAGACCTGCAGTGTCTGTGGAACAGCAAAGAGGAATAGGTTGAGGAAGAAAGGAAGAGAGACTAGGAAGAGGATGAGGTCAGAGAAATCATGGGAAGACCAGGTTATACAGGGTTTCATAGGCTTTATAGACTTTGGCTTTTGTTCTGAATAAGATGAGAAGCCATTAAAGCGTCTCTGAGCAGAAAAAGACTTGATCTAACATATTTTAATACGATCATTTGTGCTCGGTGTTGAGACTGGATTATGGGGGTTGGTGTGGAGCAGGGGAACCAAAGTAGGGCAAATAGTTAGGAGTTTATAGCAATAATCCATTGTGGCTTGGAGCAGGATTGGTAGTAGTGGAGGTGGTAAGAAGTGATTAGATTCTGAATATTTTGAAGGTAGAGTCAACAGGATATACTGTTGGATTGAATGTGGGGTATAAGAACGTAAGAACATAAGCAAAAATGTCTGACATTTTTGCTCTGAGCATCTGGAAGGACAGAATTACTGTTAACTGAAAACAGCAAACTGTGAATGGAGCAAATTTGAGGTGAATGTCAGGAGGGACAGCTTAAGTTTGAGATGCCCACTGGACCTTCCTCTGTAGGCCCTTGTAAGTAGGAAGCCAAGTCATAAACTGTTTTCTTAGGAATGAAGGACTGGGCCGGGCATGGTGGCTCATGCCTGTAATCCCAACACTTTGGGAGGCCGAGGCGGGTGGATCACGAGGTCAGGAGTTTGAGACGAGCCTGGCCAACCTGGTGAAGCCCCGTCTCTACTAAAAATACAAAAATTAGCCAGGCCTGGTGGCACACTCCTGTAATTCCAGCTACTGGGGAAGCTGAGGCAGGAGACTCACTTGAACCCAGGAGGCAGAGGTTGCGATGAGCCAAGATCGCGCCATTGCACTCCAGCTTGCTGGGAGGCAAAGCGAGACTCCATCTCAAAAAAAAAAAAAAAAAGAATGAAGGACTAAAAGTAGGCGATGAGAGTTGAAGGATCATGGTGACTCATCTGTGATAGCCTGAGTCATCTACCCTCATCTTCCAAGGGTCCAGAAACAACCCTTCCTTATGGACAGGGCTGGAGAAACAAGACGAAGTGCTATCATTGGCCTTCCCTTTTCTAGACTCATCTTAACCATTCCTTTTTGTATACATTTTTCCTTTAGAGCAGGCTGTAGGTTTTGTTTTTGTTGTTACTGTTTTTTGAGACAGAGTTTCGCTCTTGTTGCCCAGGCTGGAGTGCAATGGCACGATCTCGGCTCACCACAACCTCCGCCTCCTAGGTTCAAGCGATTCTCCTGCCTCAGCCTCCCAAGTAGCTGGGATTACAGGCATGTGCCACCACATTGCCCAGCTAATTTTGTATATTTAGTAGAGATGGGGTTTCGCCATGTTGGTCAGGCTGGTGTTGAACTCTCGACCTCAGGTGATACACCTGCCTCAGCCTCCCAAAGTGCTGGGATTACAGGTGTGAGCCACCGCTCCCAGCCCAGGCTATAGCTTTATATCTTCGTGAGGTTATACTACTCTCTTGAGGCTATGTATGGTGACCTTAGTTGAGCATGGAACTTCTGAGCAAGTCACTGAAACCGTTTATTTTTTTCTCTTTCTTTTTTTATTTTTTTAAAATTCATATATATATATATATATATATATATATATATATATATATTTTTTTTTTTTTTTTTTTTTTTTTTTTTTTGAATACAGACAGAGTCTCATCATGTTGCCCAGGCTGGTCTCAAAAACCTGGGCTCAGGCACCTCAACCTCCCAAAGTGCTGGGATTATAGGCGTGAGCCACCACGCCCAGCCAAAACCATTTTTCAGTTATTACCTTGAGGGGTTCCTTATTTTGATGGTTGATTACTGAAAGAGCTGCTTTTTTACCCTCAATTTATTTTTGGAGGGTAACCTTGTCTTTATAAAATCTACCAATAAATGTTAAATGAAAATTGGCGGAATACTTTGTGTCACTCCTATGTATCCAACTGTGGGGTTGTATTTGGAAACTGCCATGTCTTAGGGTAAAATACCTGGGAATATCTCATTTTAGAAGGCAAGATAAATTGTAGCCCAAAATATTTGAAAGGATTATTGTGTAAAATAGGGAGTTGGCTTATTTTTCTGTTTCCCCAAGGGGCAGAGGATTGTTTATAGGTAGAACTTAAAAGAAAGCAGAAGAATGTCTTAACAATTGATGTCATTTCACAGTAGAATAGGTTATTTCTTGATGTAGGAGGGTTGTGGGAAACATTCAAAGAGCCAGTAGGTGACTGGTAGGTTGAAGTGATTTCTATACAAGCATACTTCATTTTAATGTGTTTTGCTTTAATGCACTTCACAAATAATTGTGGGGTTTTTTTTTGCTTGTTTGCTTTTTAACAAATCGAAGGTTAGCGGCGACCCTGCATTGAGCAAGTCTATCGGTGCCATATTTCCCACAGCATGTGCTCACTTAGTATCTGTGTCAGCATTTTTTAGCAATAAAGTATTTTTAAATTAAGATCTGTACATTGGCTTTTTTAGACAGTGTTATTGAGCACTTAATAGACTACAGCATAGTGTAAACAAAACTTTTATATGCACTGGAAAACCAAAAAAATTTATGTGACTCACTTCATTGTTATATTGGCTTTATTGTGATGATCTGGGACTGAACCTGCAATATCTCTGAGGTAAACCTGTATTAAATGAGGTGAGGTGTTTCTGAAGTACCCTCCAAAATTTAAGATTGCTATGATAATGTCATCTTTTTCCTTGTTACTGAACCCTTGATGCTACTGGGGAACATTAGCCTTCCAAGTCTTCTGTTCTTTAGAAGTACTTCATTAGAACTACAGTACTTCTGGAGTACCGTAGTTCATCAAGTATCCCTCCTAACCTTTTCCTTAGATGGCAAAGAAGTATATTTGTGGAATGGTTGACTCGGTGGGAGGGCAGCAGGCAGAATGCGTGGTCTTGTAATGTCTTGTAGTACTAAGGTTATTGAATGATCATCAGATGACCTTGTCTTCCTTAGCCTTAGGCTTTGCCCAAGTAAACTGGTTGGTTAATGGTTATTGAGGTTTGTATGCAATGAAGCATTTGTGGGAGTTGGGAAGATACTGTCTTAGCCCTAAAAAACAAAGTGTTAGAATGTACAGGAAAACAGGGTGGATTTATCTTTCATACATATGAACCCTATCTGGCAAGTGACCTCTGAAATCTCCAGAAGTCCAGGATAAGCTTTTGTATGTTTCGTATGACATAGGCTTACAAATAATTACATTTTATGAGTTGCTATATATGTGTATATGTATATATGTGCACATTTGTATATATTCCTCACCACAGGAGAAATAAAAAGTCTAATTAGCATTCTTAATGCTCATCAGAATAAAGACATATGCACTTATGTTAGCATCCAAGTAAATATTACATATTTCTAAGGCTAATGTAGCATATTGACCTTTTTGAGTATGTATTTTACTTTTATCATATTTGAAAATTAATTATGATACCATTATATTTTATAGGATCTAAGCCTTTCCCACGTTATGGTTATAAACCCTCCCCACCGAATGGATGTGGCTCTCCACTGTTTGGTGTTCATGTAAATATTGTCTTTTATTTGATAAGTTTTGTAACTGGTAAATCATGTAATACTTTTGGTGATATAAGACTATCAGCATGTTCTTAGATTCACAAATAATTTAGCTGGGTGTAAGAGTGATCAGGTTTATTAGATTCTTTTTGGCAAAACTAACAAAAGTAAATGAAGTAAAATTGTTTTATTTTTGAATCTTATAGATGTTCGTACTATTTAAATGATATTTCCCAATATCACATACATAGTTGAAAAGTTTGGAGTACAGAAGTGCTACTACTTAGAGGGAAAAAGTATAGATAAATCATGTTTTCGACATTAAAACAAGGCTAAGTGGGATAGCTGTGTGGTTGTTGTAGGAGTGACTGGATCTAAGCCAAGTATTATGGGAAAAAAATGTTTATGAGAATGATTCCTAGACACAAGGATTTTGTGTATAAAGTTATTTAAAATAATTGAAGTTATAGATTCAGAGTAATAGTATCTTTGGGGAATGGAGAAATATTTAAAGATTAAAAAACAAAAAAATTTGAGTTGTAGGAAAGTTTTCTGTGATATTTCACATAAAGTAAATTTTATTTGGAAGGAGAGGCCACAAACACTTTGAGTATCCAAAAATCATACTTACCTAGCCCCTGGAGAATCTTTAATGGACTTAGCCTCATCTTTCTTTTTTTAAAACTTATGTTTTGTGTTTTGGACAAATGGAAATTTTGTTACTGACAGGTAACTGTGAGTGTTCTAACGCTGCAGAATAGGGAGCAGTGAGGCATAGCTGAGAGAGTAACATGGGTGGGTATGGGTAAGTGTAATGGGGAGATTTATAACACAGAAAATATTTGTAGGCAGAAATGGATTTTGGAACTATCTATACAGCAGTCATTATCATTTATACCTATTTAGTCTATTTGAATGCAGTACTTCAGAGGAGTTTTGCATTTCATTGACAGTAATCCATCCAAATGCCTTTTGCAGCTTAACATTGGTATCCCTTCCCTGACAAAGTGTTGCAACCAACACGACAGGTGCTATGAGACCTGTGGCAAAAGCAAGAATGACTGTGATGAAGAATTCCAGTATTGCCTCTCCAAGATCTGCCGAGATGTACAGAAAACACTAGGACTAACTCAGCATGTTCAGGGTAAGGATGATCTGGTGGCTTGGGGATGAGTGTACTTTTTAAAGTTGTATCAAATGCTCTATGTTTTAGTATAGGATTTACCAATAGAAATCTTTCACATATATTATCTATTGTGACACAGACTTCAATTTTCTGAGGTGAGGAGCTGATGATTTTATAATCTAAAATGATTTATAGTCACAGAAGCAAAAAGCATTAGGAAACCTTGGGAGAGTAGGGGTGTCTAAGGCTGAGAGAGAGAAGAATTCATCTACCTTGTGCCCTAAAATATATCTCCAGTCATCATGTAAGAACCTAAAGTAGCTAAAGTTTGAAACTCTGATTCCAGTTGTCTTAGTCCATCTGGACTGCTACCATAGACTGGGTGACTTATAGACAACAGAAAGTTATTTCCTACAGTTCTGGAGGCTGGGAAGTCCAAGATCAAGGCACTAGCAGATTTGGTGTCTGATAAGGACTCATTTTCTAGTTCGTAGCAGATGCCTTCTAACTGTGTCTTCACTTAGTGGAGAGGACTAGATAGCTCTCTGGGGCCTCTTTTATAAGAGCACTAATCACATTTACCATCTTTTGGAACTTAGACACCTCCAAAGGCCTCACCTTCTGATTTCATCACTTTGGAGGTTAGGATTTCAACATAAATTCTGGAAAGACACAAACATTCAGACCATACCACCAGTGAATTTAAGAGTATAGCACACTGGATTTGGAGTAGGAATTTCTAGAAGACTTGTCTTATGGGTTTCTGTTGGGAAGGTCCCCAGATGACCCCCAGGTTCAGTGATTTACTAGGAGGACTCACGGGACTCAGCATATAGTTGTACTCACTGCCATGAGGTATTATGGTGAAGAGATAGAAAGCCAAACTAGCAAAGGGAAAGGGCCCTTTGGTGTCATTTTTAAAAGAATGATGATACTCACCTCACAGAGTTGTCATAAGGATGAAGTGAAGTATTTGTGGAAATACAAATAAATCACCATTCAAATACTGGTAGTTATAAGATTTCTCTACTGTCAAGCCAAAGAACATATCATACACTGAAATCAGAAGAGGCAAGGCAGGAAAGGAAAATAACATTTTAAGCACTTTCATAAGATACTGTGCTAGATATTTTATTCATGTTTTCATTTGATGCCAACAAAAACCTAAAGAGGTAGGTAGTGTTATCCCCATTTTTCAAGGAAGGAAACGATGGTTCAGAAAACAGTAACTTGCCCCAAGTGAGCATTTAGCCTGACTTTAAAATCTGTGTTCTGTCTATTATACAGTATTCTCCAAATAGTCTCATATTATAGCCCTGATTCTAATATCCTAATAATTCATGTCAAGGAAGAAATCTCTGCTGCAGGTAATCTTGAATTCACAGCCTCTGTATCCCTTTGCAGCTTTTGGCTAAGGTAAACTAGCTGTAAACCTGAAGCATAGATAGATTTATTTCCTGTTTTCTGATTTAAGAAGAATGTGAAACCAATCATCTTGTAACCTCCTATTTAATAGTCATAGCCTCTCCACTTCTGTGGTTGGTTGTTTCTTAATGGCAAAGTCTTTTGGAGAACTTTGAAAATGTTAAGATTTTGTAATGACAAGTTTCTTCCTTAACATGAATATTTTGAAACGAAAAGTATTTGGATAACTAAAAGCCACTCTGTGCTATATCTCTGTAAGTGTAACATGTTAAGATAATCTCACCTGGATGTTTCAGGTTTCTTAGAATAAGAAAAGTAAATAAATTACCTTTTCATAGTCTTCAAAAAATTTAAAAACCTAACTGGGGCCGGGTGCGGTGGCTCACGCCTGTAATCCCAGCACTTTGGGAGGCCTTGGCTGGTGGACCACTTGAGCCCAGGAGTTTGAGAGCAGCCTGGCCAACATGGTGAAACCCCATCTCTAACAAAAAATACAAAAATTAGCCAGGCGCCTATAGTCCCAGTTACTCAGAAGGCTGAGGTGGAAGAATCACTTGAACCCAGGAGGCAGAGGTTGCAGTGAACCAAGATCATGCCACTGCACTCCAGCCTGGGTGACAGAGTGAGGTGAGACCTTGTCTCAAAAAAATAAATAAAATAAATAAATAAATAAATAAATAAATAAAATAAACCTACCTGACTGGGGAAAAATACTTTTGATTTATATGCTCCCATATCCCCAAGTCAAATTAGGACATTGGTCAAAGAGATTGGATTCCGTTTACTTTAAGCCTCTTAACTGATGTATGATCAGTCCTCAGAAGCCATTGGCCATAATGAAATGTTTTGAGATTTCAATTTTTAAACTTTGTTTCTTCCGCACATAAAACATTTTTTCTTAAAATGCAAATTTAAGAGTATTATCAGACAACTCTGTTAGTGATTATGTTTTTCAAATAAAAAGAAAGTTAAAACACTGATTAATCAGTGCTATTTTAAAAGACTTTTATTTGTCTAGTTTAAACAATTGGGCCAGGCATGGTGGCCCACGCCTGTAATCCCAGCACTTTGGGAAGACAAGTCAGGAGGACTGCCTGAGTCCAGGAGTTTGAGACCAGCCTGGGCAACATAGTGAGACCTCATATCTACTAAAAACAAACAAACAAACAAACAAACAAACAAAAATAGCTGGGTGTGGTGTTGTGTGTCTGTTTAAAATTAAAAATTAAATTTAAAAAATTTAAATTAAAAATGAGCTGGCCATGGTAATGCCAGCTACTCAGGAGGCTGAGGTGGAAGGATTACTTTAGCCCAGGATGTGGAGACTGCAGTAAGCTATGACTGCACCATGACACTCCACTCTGGGTGTCAGAGTGAGACCCTGTCTCAAAAAAAAAAAAAAAAAAAAATTGGGTTAAACAGTTGAATGCAAACAAAAAATAAGATGCATGAGACTAAAACTGGAAATCTGTAGATATATATGTGTGTATGTAAATATGCTACAGGTTGTGAGAGTTTGGTGATTTCATCTAGCATACATTTCAGTGCTCACGAGGGATATGCTTGTTGCTGTGCTGTAATGTGTAACATAGGTGAAAAGAGCAATGCAGTTGCCCAACAGTAATCCCATTTTCTTGTTTTGCAGCATGTGAAACAACAGTGGAGCTCTTGTTTGACAGTGTTATACATTTAGGTTGTAAACCATATCTGGACAGCCAACGAGCCGCATGCAGGTGTCATTATGAAGAAAAAACTGATCTTTAAAGGAGATGCCGACAGCTAGTGACAGATGAAGATGGAAGAACATACCTTTGACAAATAACTAATGTTTTTACAACATAAAACTGTCTTATTTTTGTGAAAGGATTATTTTGAGACCTTAAAATAATTTATATCTTGATGTTAAAACCTCAAAGCAAAAAAAGTGAGGGAGATAGTGAGGGGAGGGCACGCTTGTCTTCTCAGGTATCTTCCCCAGCATTGCTCCCTTACTTAGTATGCCAAATGTCTTGACCAATATCAAAAACAAGTGCTTGTTTAGCGGAGAATTTTGAAAAGAGGAATATATAACTCAATTTTCACAACCACATTTACCAAAAAAAGAGATCAAATATAAAATTCATCATAATGTCTGTTCAACATTATCTTATTTGGAAAATGGGGAAATTATCACTTACAAGTATTTGTTTACTATGAAATTTTAAATACACATTTATGCCTAGAAGGAACGGACTTTTTTTTTCTATTTTAATTACACATAATATGTAATTAAAGTACAACATAATATGTTGTTTCTCTGTAGCCCGTTGAGCATATGAGTAAGTCACATTTCTATTAGGACTACTTACAAGGACAAGGTTTCCATTTTTCCAGTTGTAAAATTGGAACCATCAGCTGATAACCTCGTAGGGAGCAACCCCAGGATAGCTAAGTGTTATGTAATATGCCTAGAAGGTGATGTGAATGCGATTCAGAAGCATAGCCACTCCCATTTTATGAGCTACTCACATGACAAATGTCATCTTTTGCTATAACCTTTGCCAAGTTAGAGAAAAGATGGATTTAATGAGATAAATGAAAAGATATTTAACCTAATATATCAAGGCACTATTTGCTGTTATGCTTTGTTATTTATTTCCCAGCACTTGTTCCTTATTGTAGATTTTTTAAAGACTGTAACCTTTTACTAACTGTGGTCTTACTAAAATTTGTGCTTGATACTGCTTTTCAAAAAGCCTTTAATTAGAGCCAAAAGGATGGAAAAGGCAAGATATAAATGCCTTTTATAGATCTCTTATTTACATTGAAAATTATTACCATATGTTTAGAGCAAATCCAAGAAAACTTCAACAGCTTCTGAAGATGTCTATGAATGTTGAAAACTTTTCAATCTCTTGGAATGCTCAGTTATGTTCCTAGACCGGTCTTTGCTGACTACTGGTTGTTAACCTTTCCCTAGCCTGGGACCTCAAGCCATATATATCCTTTGGGTGACCCATGGCCAAAGTTATTAAGATGAACTGACTTTCAAAGTCAGAGAAGGACAGCATAGGGAGAGGCGGTTATTTGTAAGTCATTACAGGTAGAACAGGGCAGAAGGAAAAGTATGTTCTGGAGAAAGGGCCATGTTCCTAACTTTGGAGATATGTCATTGCCGGGAACCTAGTATCTTCCAACTTGAATTGGTGGCAGCTGTTCCAGTGAGACAAGGCACATGTATGCCTTGTGGCTAAGTGAGCAAACTGGGTTTCCACTTAAATGTTTGGGACCCTCAATTGATTCTTTATTTCAAACCTTTATAAAAGGTACAGTTTTGTAAGCCATTATTAATAATTAATGCTTATCGGCTGGGCACAGTGGCTCACACCTATAATCCCAGCACTTTGGGAGGCTGAGGCGGTTGGATCACTTGAGGTCAGGAGTTTGAGACCAGCTGGCCAACATGGTGAAACAGCGTCTCTACTAAAAATACAAAAATTTGCCGGGCGTGGTGGCGCATGCTTATAGTCTCAGCTACTCAGGAAGCTGAGGTACGAGAATCACTTGAACCCAGGAGGTGGAGGTTGCAGTGAGCTGAGATTGTGCCACTGCACTGCAGCCTGGGCAACAGAGCAAGACTCTAAAAAAAAAATGGTTTATCAATATTTACTATTGAAATATTTGTCCAGGTAACTTTACACTTACAATGAATTCATGGATTTTGTTAGCAGCATTGGCTTTCTCAAAAGGACAAACTCAATATCGTTATAAAATATAATTCGTGATCACAAATTATACAAAAATCAGTAGAAACAGTTTTTTATGTTCAGATTAAAAAAAAAAACTTGGGATAATTTTAGATTTACAGAAAAGTTGCAAAGATACATGGAGAGCTTCTGTGACCACTCACCCAGTTCCCCCAGTGTTAACCTTTTATTTAACCATGAAGCATTTGTCAGAAGCTAAGTAACCAGCAATGGCAATTACTATTAACGGAACTTTGACTTTATTTTTCAGATTGTACTAGTTTTTTAATTAATGTCATTTTTCTTTTCCAGGATCCAATCTAGGATACCACACTGAATTAGTCGTCATGCCTAATTAGCCTCTGGTCTGTGATAGTTCCACAGTCTTTCTTTTTCATAACCTTGACAGTTTTGAGGAGTACTGGTCAGGTGTTTTGTAGAATATTCCTCAATTTGGGTTTGTCTGATGTTTTCCTCATGGTTAGAGTGGGGTTATAGATTTTTAGGAAGAATACCAGAGGTGAAGGTCCTTCTCACTGCATCATGTCAGGAGTTACATGCTATCAGCTTGATGGTGTATTAACTTTGGACACTTGGTTAAGGTAGTGTGTGTTGGTTTTTTGCTGCTGAAAATTACTGTTATTTTCCCTTTCCATACTTCTGTTCTTTGGAAAACAGTCACTAAGTCCAGTCATGGGAGGTGGTGGGTGGGAAAGATTACATTCAACCCCCTGGAAGTGGGAATATCCATATGTAGTATTTGGAATTTTTCTATATGGAAAATTTGTTTCTCCCTCCCACCCTAATTTGTTTACATCAGTATGGACTCATGTATATTTTGTATTTTGGGTAACACAGTATTTATTTTGTTGCTTAAGTTGTCCAGCTTGGCTATTAGGAGTTCTGCCAGGTTGGCTACTATGTCCCTTTGATGTGCCCATCCTTTTGATTTTTGAGCACTTCTTACTTTCTGGCACTACAAGATGCTCCAGGTTCATCTTGGATATTCCCTGCCCCAACCCTAGAATCCCTAGAATCAACCCCTGCTCCAAAGAGCCCTGGTTCCTTTTGTTGGAGAATCATACTTAGAAACCAAGATCTGGGCATTAGATGTGCTTGTTGCTACTGGGATGTCACTGTTTGTAGCAGAGTTGAGAAATATGTATGTATATTAATCCATGCATATGTACACATCTATAATTATTTATGTGTGTACAAAGCTAAACATGAGTTTGTACTGCCGTCTTCAACTCAAAATTTGTCCCAAAATTTTGTGGCATATGTTTAGATTTTAAAGTTGATATTTTCCCTATTGACAGAATAAACTCATTAAAAGAGCAAAAAAAAAAAAAAAAAAAAAAAGGCAAGAACTAACTGTCAGCAGCTCTTTGCAAGAAATGTAATATTGATACTTTAAAATAATACTGCCTTCAAATGATGCCTGTCTCTTTAAAATCTTTTGACATAGTTCTTCCAGGGACAGATATGGCTGTATTTATTTCATAGATGGAGAAACTGAGCACAGAGCTGTAATGAAGACAGAATTGAGATATAAGGGCAAAAGCTAATTAAACGCATCCTCACAGGTAGCCTTTCTTTCAGTGAACCTGTAGACTAGTCCAGTAATACTTATTAAAATTAGTTGTTAGAGGCTGGGCATGGTGGTTCAAGCCTGTAATCTCAGCACTGTGGGAGGCCAAGGCGGACAGATCACTCAAAGTCAGAAGTTCGAGACCAGCTTGGCCAACATGGCAAAACCCTGTCTCTACTAAAAATACAAAAATTAGTTGGGTGTGGTGGCACATGCCTGTAATCCCAGCCACTCGGGAGGTGAAGGCACAAGAATTGGTTGAACCTGGGAAGCAGAGGTTGCAGTGAGCTGAGATTGCACTGCTGCACTCCAGCATAGGCGTCAGAATAAGACTCTGTCTTGGAAAGAAGAAAAAAAATTGTTAGCCTAAAACCAACTCTCTCTAAATTTAAAAGAGTGATTATTTATCTTAGTATTTATAGAAGTATGAGATTATCAGAAGGTGCGATGCACAATGCTCATTATTTTATCCTAGTACAAGACACGTATAACATCTAACAGTAAAGAAGATGGAATCTTTCTATAAAAACAATTCTGTTATTAATAGTTGACTGACTTCAGTAACTTTGAGGAGTAGAATGAAACTTATTAGGCAAGATCTTTCCACATACACTACATTGTATTGTTCAAAATTCATAGAAATTACTTGCAATATATTGATTTAAGCCTTATGTAGTGACTGTTGCTATATTTGAAGTAGCATTTTTAGTTTGCTGTTTTTCCTCACTGCTTAATCCTACAAAAACCAGCCATCTGCCTAAAAAATAAAAGAGCAAAAATGAATCAGTGCAACCGGTATACGAAAAATAATAATTATTAATAAAACTGTAAAGGGATCACTAGTGTCATCTTTTATATATGTCACAATGATGTTAGACTTTTTGCCTCAGGCTTACTTATTCAGTTTCCATAACATCCTTCAAAAATCTCCTTGTTGACAACTTGACAAACATTTCTCTGTTGGCTTTCAAGTTTTAAGTATAGCAATCAGAATCATCATAGAAATTAATATTTCTATGAATTCTGTAAGAAAAAATATTAAACACCAAAATCAGTGACCAAAATTTTTAAGTTGTAGAATTATCTCTGAACTTAACTTTATTCCCTATATTTCATTCCTATGATAGGTGACAAGCCAAGACCTTCAGTTTTAATAAGTTCCACTTTTATTTATATTTTAAAATAATATATTGCCTTTGAATAATGCCTATCTCCTTAAAATCTTTTGGCACATTTCTTCCAGGGACAGAGATGGCTGTTTATTTCATAAAGGAGACATTGAGCACAGAGAAGCTGTAATGAAGACACGATTGAGATATGAGGGCAAACCAGTTTCAATAAGTCACTTTTATGGAAAACTATTCAGATATAGGAAGAATCAAGTCATCCTGTCAGTTAACTTAGTGTATCTGAATTTTAATGGATTTGCTGTGGGAATATTTTTCTTTGAGAGGGAAGAGAGTGCTTGGTAGGATTCCAGTCTATGTTGGTGGTTCTCAAACATGAGCATGCGTGAGACTCACTGGCAGGCTTGTTAAAACACACTGCTGGACCCCACCCCCAGAGTTTCTGATTCAGTAGGTCTGGGGTAGACAGGAGAATTTGCATTTCTAACAAGTTCTCAGATGATGATACTGCTGGTTCATAGACCACAGCTTGGGAAGTAGTTTAGGTAATCTTCAGTGCTGAAAATAACTAATGTACTGAAAGCTTGCTGTGGGTTCAGTACTTTCATAGGAGTTTGCAATTTACTGTCTCAAAAACTCTGGAATAGATTTGGACCTCATTTTACAACAAAGAGTTTGAAGCTATGAGAGGTTAAGTTGCATTACCTGTCACATATCTAACAGCAAATAAAATGGGGAAGCCGTGAGTAGAACCTGGGCAGCCTGTTTCCCAGTCCCAGGCACTCAGCCATTTTATTGTGGCTAGCTGTTGCTTTAAGAGGCTAAAATTATACATTTGTAATTCTGAAATAAGTACCCAAGAAAATGTTCTGTATTTATGTTTTTAGACAAAATCCTGATCAGTGGTGAATAAGGGGAAAAAAAGGTAGACAAAATATTGTTTTAAAATACTTAACCACATAGACTATAGTAGTAATGTTGAGATAATAAGATACTTATGGAGAAAAAATGACAAATTCCTTCCATCTGCTCTTTTCAGATAAGTAGAACGTCAGCCAACTGGAGTTCCACTCTTGTCGAGGGAATGTTTTCAGGACTCAGAGACCCTGAAAGTGAGGCCAAAGGACTGGAAGTTCTGGTGGTCAGATAACTCATTCAGACTGGATAAAAGCCAGAGTGTAAATGTGAAAACCCTGAATTGTAGTCAATGGCTAAATATTGAGCCACATGCAAGGCAACTGGGGTAGGTAATGAGGAAACCAAAAAATGCCACTGCTGTTTCCAACGAGTACAACAAGATGGTAATAACCAATATTCATTGAGCTCTTCACATGGCAGGCAGTATTCTGAGTCCTTCACAGTCACTTAACCCAATCATCACAACCACCATACAAGGGAAATATGGAAATTCCATGTCTTTGTTGCAGGATAAGTTACTAAGACAGTGATTTCTGAAATATTTTATGCATACAATGAACAGTAAATGGTTTGAGTAAAAACCCTTCTTTGATTTCGTACTCTAATGACATCAAGACTTGAACCACAGGCACATGTAGAAGTTACCAAATTAGATTTTTTCTCTCCCAAATAATAGTATGAGATGAGTTCCTTATACTTATTTCTTAAGTATTCATTATACTTATTTTAATATATTAGAAGTGGTGCCTTAACACATTTTAATTTTTTTCCCACTCTAAGGTTGCTTACTTTTAAAATTACAAGGTCCAGAGGAATTACAAAAGATAAAGCCACCGTTTCATCAAATCTGAAAGCATTGTCAAAGTAAATTTTTTACAATAGCCAACCACCCAAGGAGGAGCTAAATTAAATCCAACATTGAGCACCCCATGGCACCTTGTTGGCACACTGTTTGGCTGCTATTTTTGGGGTAGGACAACATGCTCTCCCCAGGAAACACCATTATCTAGAGACCCTCATCATTCTGTGAATTTCTGCATGGTTCTGTCCCTGAATTAGCTCTACCTATGAAAGCCAGATTTGAAAAATCCAGGAGAAGCCAGGTGTCGTGGCTCATGCCCGTAATCCCAACATTCTGGGAGGCCAAGGTGGGCAGATACCAGGTCGGGAGTTTGATACCAGCCTGACCAACATGGAGAAACCCCATCTCTACTAAAAATACAAAATTAGCCAGGCATGGTAGTGCACGCCTGTAATCCTAGCTACTTGGGAGGCCAAGGCAGGAGAATCGCTTGAACCCGGGCGGCAGAGGTTGCGGTGAGCTGAGATCATGCCATTGCACTCCAGCCTGGGCAACAACAGCTAAACTGTCTCAAAAAAAAAAAAAAAAAATCCAGGAGTTACCTCCAGTTTACTTTGGCCCAAGTTTCATATACAAAGAACATTTAAAATAAGTTACTGCAAGTCCTACAAAGTAACTTGCACTGGGGAAAGGACTACACATGAAACAGGAACATATATGCCACCCCCTATGGGATACCTCAGAGGGATTTCGAGTTTGGTTCCAGACCACCAATAAAAGAGTCACACAAATTTTCTGGTTTCCCAGTGCATATGAAAGTTTTTCATACTAAAGTGTAGTCTGTTAAGTGTGCAATAACATGTCTAAAAAAATAATGTATATACCTTAATTTTAAAATATTGCTAAAAGATGCTAGGGATCATCTGAGCCTTCAGCGAGTTATAAATGTTGGTGTGGGGTATTGTTGAGGGCTGCTGACTGATTAGGGTGGTAGTTGCTGAAGGCTGGGATGACTGGCAATCTCTTAAAATAAGGCAATAAGGAAGTTTGCTTCATTTTTTTGTTTGTTTTGAGATGGAGTCTCGTTCTGTCACTCAGGCTGGAGTGCAGTGGCATGATCTTGGCTCACTGCAACCTCTGCCTCCTGGTTCAAGTGATTCTTGTGCCTCAGCCTCCTGAGTAGCTGGGATTACAGGTGCCTGCCACCGTGCCCGGCTAATTTTTGTTATTTTTAGTAGAGACAGGGTTTTGCCATGTTGGCCAGTCTGGGCTCGAACTCCTGGCCTCCCAAAGTCCTGGGATTACAGGCATGAGCCACTGCACCTGGCCATCCATTGATTGTTCCATTCACTAAAGATTTCCCTGTAGCATGTGATGCTGTTTGGTAGCATTTTATCCACAGACCTTCTTTCAAAATTGGGGTCAATCCCCCCAAACCCTGCCACTGCTTTGTCAACTAATACCCTGAATCCTTTGTTGTCATTTAAACACAATTCACAGCATATTCACCAGGAGTAGATTCTATCTCAATAAACCACTTTCTTTGCTCATCCGTAAAAAGCATCTCCTCATCTATCAAAGTTTTATCATGAGATGGCAACAATGCAGCCACATTTTCAGGCCCCACTTCCAATTCTATTTGTCTTGCTACTTCTGCCACATCTACAGTGACTTCCCTCACTGAAGTCTTGAACCCCTCAACATCAGTGATGAGGATTGGAATTAACTTCTTTCAAACTCCTGTTAATGTGGAGATATATGCATATACCTATGTATAATGTATGTGTGTGTGTATATGTGTGTGTGTATATATATATATATATATATATATATATATATATATATAAAATGGATAGGTATGTTGTCCTGCCTGTAAAATACCACCCAGTGTGCCAATTGAAATATATATAATTTTTAAATATTTATATATGTATTTTATATATATTATATATATATATATATATATATATATATATTTTTTTTTTTTTTTTTTTTTTTTTTTTAAAGAGTGTCTTACTCTGTCACCCAGACTGGAGTGCAGTGGCACAGTCAGCTGACTGCAGCCTCAAACTTGGGCTCAAATAATCCTGCCATCTTAGTGTCCTGAGTTGCTGGGAATACAGGCATGTGCCACCACTCTTGGCTAATTAAAAAAAAAAAAAAATTGTAGAGACAGGGTCTTGCATTGTTGCCTAGGCTGGTCTCAAAACTCCTGGCCTCAAGCAATCCACCTTGGCCTCCCAAAGTGCTGGGTTTACAGGCATGAGCCACTGTGGCTGATACATGTACTTTTAATTTTTCGTTTTTCTTTTTTTCCCCCTCTAGTCTCTAGTTACATACCGTAAGTGGATATTTTGACCTCCCATGAATCACAAATGTTCTTAATGGCATCTCGAATGATGAATCCTTTCCAGAAGATTTTCAATTTACTTTGCTCAGAACTATCAGAGGAATCATGATGACAGCTATAGCCTTATGAAATGTATTTTGTAAATAAGACTTGAAAGTCAAAATTTCTCCTTGATCCCTGGGCTTCAGAATGGATGTTGTGTTAGCAAGCACGATAACAGCATCAGTCTCTGTACATCTCTATCAGAACTCTTGGATGACCAGGTGTATTGTCAATGAGGAGTAATATTTTGAAAGGAACCTTTCTTCTGAGCACTAGAGCTCAACAGTGGGCTTTAAATATTCTCTAAGCCATGCTGTAAATAGATGTGCTGTCACTAACTAGCCTTTGTTGGTCCATTTATAGATCATATTTAGCATAATTCTTAAGGGCACTAGGATTTTCAGAATGGTAAAGGAATGTTGGCTTTAAAGTCATCAGTTGTATTAGCCCCTAACAAGAGCATCAGCCTGTTCTTTGAAGCTTTGAAGACAGGCATTGACTTCTCTCTAGCTATGAAAGTCTTAGATGGAATCTTCTTCCAATAGAAGGCCGTTTCATATACATTTAAGATCTGTTGTTTTGGCTGGGCACGGTGGCTCACACCTGTAATCCCAGCACTTTGGGAGACCGAGGCGGGCAGATTGCTCAAGGTCAGGAGTTCAAGACCAGCCTGGCCAAACATGGTGAAACTCTGTCTCTACTAAAAATACAAAATTAACCTGGACATGGTGGCACATCCTGTAATCCCAGTTACTTGGGAGGCTGAGGCAGAAGAATCGTTTGAACCCAGGAGGCAGAGGTTGCAAAAGATCGCACCACTGTACTCCAGCCTTGGTGACAAAGCAAGACTGTCTCAAAAACAAAAGATTGTTGTTTAGTGTAGCTGCCTTTATCAATGATTTTAGCTAGATCTGGATAACCTGATGCAGCTTCTACGTTAGCACCTGCTGCTTCACCTTGCACTTTTATGTCATGAAGATAGTTTCTTTCCTTAAACCTCAGGAACCATCCTCTCTGCTAGCTTCCAGCTTTTCTTTTGCAATTCCCTCACCTCTCTCAGCCTCCATAGAATTGAAGAGTTAGGGCCTTGCTCTGGATTAGGCTTTGGCTTAAGGGAATGTTGTGGCTGTTTTTATCTTCTATCCAGACCAACTAGAACTTTCTCCATATCAGCAATAAGGCTGTTTAGCTTTATTGTCTTTTGTGTGTTTACTGGAGTAGCATTTTTAATTTCCTTCAAAATTTTTTCCTTTGCATTCATGACTTGGCTTTTCTCCTTTGCACTCACAACTTGGCTAACTGGAGCAAGAAGCCTAGCTTTCTGCCTACCAACATTACTTCCTCACTAACTTAATCATGTTTGCTTTTGATTTAAAGTGACAGGCTCTTCCTTTCATTTGGACACTTAGAGGCCTTTGTAGGATTATTAGTTGGCCTAATTTCAAAATTGTGTTTCCAGGAATAGGGAGGCCCCAGGAGGGGGAGAGAGAAGGGAAAGTTCGGTGGAACAGTCCAAACACATACAGGGCTTATGGATTAATTTCCCCTTCCTTTATGAGCGCGGTTCATGGTGCCCCAAAACAATTGCAATAATATTAAAGATTACTGATCACAGATCACAACAGCAGACATAATAACAATGAAAAATTTTGAAATATTGCGAGAGTACCAAAATGTGACACAGAGACACAAAGCGAGCCAATGTTGAAATACAGGCAGTATCTGCTAAGCGGTATAAAACAATCTATGCCTGTACCTCTAGAAAGTACAGGCATAGCAAAGTAAGGAATAGCAAATGTTTGGGGCAGCTGGGATTAAATGAGTCCGAGCTCACACAAGTGATGTGAAATTGCCTCGGGCTAGGCGGTCTGTGTGTCCCCCCGGGTGGCAACTGGCATGTCCCCAGGGCACGGTTAGTCCCAGCGGGCCTGGAGGCGAAGACCGCGTACCTCTCCCTGCCCCCGCGCTCTTGGTCCCCGCGGGCTCCGGAGCGACTGGGAGGAGCTTTAACTCTGGGAAGGACCAGCCCGATCCACGGGAGCCCGGGCGGCGCGCAATCAGAACCAACTGGCCCCACGCTCGGGGGCAGGGGGCGGGGCCGCCGAGGAAGGGCCGAGGGCGGGGCCGGGCCCGGGAGCCTGTGGCTTCAGGAAGAGGAGGGCAAGGTGTCTGGCTGCGCGTTTGGCTGCAATGAGCTCGGCCTCGGGGCTCCGCAGGGGGCACCCGGCAGGTAGGCAGGGGGCGTCGACTGGGCACCGAGCAGGTCTGCGTCTTGCTCCGGCTGGAGGGGAAACGAGGGTTAGTGGACCGGGCGCGCGGACCGGAGTGGGGCCGCGGGTTCCTTCGGCTTTGCAGGGCGGCCTGGAGAAGTTGCACTCTTGGATTGAAGCGCTCAGGGCGGGTGGGGACGGTTTCGCGCTTCAGTCTAAGAAACACTCGGGGACCTGGCTGCCGCCTCCTGGCGGTCCCGAGTAGCGACGCCGGCGCCGGGGCGTGCCCCTGCCGCCTTTGTCCTCCGGGGCGATGAGCGCTTTCGGGGCGCCCCGGCTGTTTAAACCTTAAAAGGCTGTCCCCACGCGGGCCTGGCGTTCCCCCACACCTGGCCGTTTGAAATGTTGGGGGTTGGATCTTTTGTTTGCTCACTTCGAAAAGTGAAAAGGAGGGGTTGTTCCGCCGAGTCATAATGAAAACATAACAGGCCCGCGGGGTGCCCGGGCCAAGACCCTGGGTCCTCCCGGGCTTCAGCTGGAGGCGGCCAGTTCCTGGCGGCCAGCACACCCCGGTATCTCTCTTCTTCATCCAGGAAACCTGCTGCTGTCTGTCGGTTTGAGCCAAAACCACAATAACTTTTTTCTGCAAAGTAATCAACTGCTAAGAGCGTACGTTCTGTCACTTATTACTGGTAAAGTTTAGAAACTTCAAGCCTGGCCAGAGTGAAACAAACAAAAAGGTCGAAACGCCTGCAGTTGGCCGGCCGTGGTGGCTCACGCCTTGTAATCCCAACACTTTGGGAGGCCGAGGCGGGCGGATCACCAGAGGTCGGGAGTTCTCGACCAGCCTAACTAACACGGTGAAACCCCGTCTCTACTAAAAATACAAAAAAATTAGCCAGGCCTGGGCGCAAGCTACTGGGGAGGCTGAGACAAGAGAATCGTTTGAACCCTGGAGGTGGAGGTTGCAGTGAGCCGAGATCGCCCCACTGCACTCCAACCTCGGCGACAGAGTGAGACTTCGAATCAAGAAGAAAAAAAAAAAAAAAGAACGAAACGCCTGCAGTTGGTTAGAGTGCCTTTGTTTAAGAACTCTTTATATTTTGCTGCACAAAGGAAATGGTGCTCCAGAGGCAAGCTGTAAAAGTCACATGGTCGTAGAGGAGGTAGATAGGTAGCCTTGTCCTGGAGGCACAGTGCAGGGTCCAGTTGCAGTCTCTAGGGGCGGGAAGCCGGGGCTTTCCTTCACTCACCTGCTCCCTTCCTCTTCTTCCTCCACCGCACTCCCCAGTGCATGTTCTAGGCCTGATGGAGGTTACTCTACATAGGGTTACTAAATACATTGTTGATGGAGCCGATGGGTAGATTTTCATAGAGAGTGCAGTGAATGAAGACGATGACAGTAGAATGACCGAAGTCGTTTGGGAAGTTGAACAAAGTTTAGAAAGGTAGCCGGTCTCGGGTGGGAGGGGCTGCGTGGGGATGGGCCTACAGAGACTTTGGAATCTGTAGGTGGGCTGGCTTTCAATCCCAGCTTCACTTTGCCGACCTTGGCACGCCTGGCCCACTTTCTCTGTCCCTGTTCCTGAGCTGTGGAGCTGTGAGATAAGGTATCTAAGGCATCAGGCCATCAACAAATGGTAGCTGGCAGGATTATCTGGAGGGACTATCAAATTAGAGTGAGGTGAAAAAAGGAATGATTAGTTTTGTAAAACCTAAGCTGATTTAAGGAATAAGGAGGTGGCAGTTACATTATCCTGCAAAGGAAGAGAAGTGAAAAGAGGGCCAGACACAGTGGTGGGCGCCTCTAGTCCCAGCTACTGGGGAGACTGAGGCAGGAGAATCGCTTGAAACCTGGAGGTGGACTTGCAGTGAGCCAAGATTGCGCCACTGCACTGCAGCCTGGGCGACAGAGGGAGGCTCTGTCTCAAAAAAAAAAAGTGAAAAGAGGTCAAGAATCAGGTTTAAAGAAGGGCACATTTTTGATAAGTAGATTGCAGATGAAAAGGAATTTCTATATCTGTTATACAGGGTAGCTCCTTCATTAAAATTTATTTTCTCCATATCAATAAAGCTATTTCTTACTTTATCCAGGTTTTTAAATATTAACGCAGGCCGGGCGTGGTGGCTCATGCTTGTAATCCCAGCACTTCCAGGAGGCTGAGGCAGGTGGATCACTTGAGGCCAGGAGTTCAAGACCAGCCAGGACAACATAGCAAAACCCTGTCTCTACTGAAAATACAAAAAAAAAGTAGCTGGGTGTGGTGGCGCATGCCTGTAATCCCAGCTACTCAGGAGGCTGAGGCGGGAGAATCGCTTGAACCCGGAGGCGGAGGTTGTGGTGAGCCGAGACCACGCCACTGCACTCCAGCCTAGGCAACAGAGCAAGACTCCATCCCAAAAAGATAGTAATAAAAAATAAATATTAATGCGGCATAATGATACTTAAGTGCCCCCTTCTGGAAAGCTTGTCTTCTTGGGATACACAGCTCAAGGTGGTCATGATGTGTTATTTTCTCTCAATCTGTGGGTAAAGTTTATCAACTCCAGAAAAGTATTGGAACTTAGGTCCTGGCATCTGTCTCCATAGCTTTTTGTTCTGATTCAGTGTTTGCTAGAGTGGCCACTGGACCTGGTCATTAACTGGTACTGCAGGATGCAGGGTGCACTTTGTGAGAGTGAAGGTAAGTTACAGCTGGCCAGCATCAGAATTGGGATGTCCAGAGCCTAGGTTTTTTTCTACATCCGTAGCATTAACAAACAACAACAACAACAAAAAACTTAAAAAAAAAATCCCTCACTGAGGTTGCCAAATCTGTTAACTTTGAAACTGAATGTATTAAGAGATGGGGTCTAGCTCTGTTACCCAGGCTGGAGTATGGTGACTATTCACAGGGGCAGTCATAGCACACTATGTCCTAGAACTCTTGGGCTCAAGAGATCCTCCTGCCTTGGCCTTCCAGGTAACCGGGACTATAGGCTTGCCACTATGCCCGGCCAGAACGTCATTTTAAACAGATTTTCTTGAGCAGCTACTTAATACTAGTTAGCCATTCCTAAACCTGTAGGTCTTGACTAATGTGAGGGCATATTTGAGACAACCCAAACTCACATCTTAAGTTATTAATTTTAATGTGTCAGCTAACAACTGGGAAGCTACTTCTTTGGCAATATGAGAAACAAGAGTTTTAAAGACCCAAGCAAGAATACATCTCCAGTGTTTTCACCCTGAGGGATATGAGTTAGTTTGCTGAGCAGCCATTTGGCACAGCTTCCATGAGTTAGGTTGTGAGCCGCCTTCGGCTCAGCAGTCAGTATGGAGCAGAAGCCACAGGAGGTGAGCCGCTGGCCTGCTGCCACCGAGGAGGACACTGAGACATGAGTGCTTTCCAAGTTGTGCAGAATTTTGGCATGTGAGGAGGATGGTTGTGACATATGGATTTAATTTTCTTGAAGTTATTGTTTCTTTATACTCTAATTGGTTAAAAGATAAGCAGGTGAGGTTATCAAAAGGCAGTAGATTCCGACAGCTTTTGAAAATGGGAAGAGTGAAATCCCTGTGCTGTCTTCATAGAGCAGTGTGTGGAGTAGGAAGTACCTCGTTACTGTGCTCACCTAGGGCAAAGGTCGGATTAAACAGCTTTCTCATCTGCCATGCAGCGGGGAGGACCAGTTGGAGAGGTTGCTTTTGGCTCTCACACCTTAGTGTAAAAATCACTTTGTGAAAAATGCAGCTGTCACCTCCTTCCTCCAAGATTCTGATTCTGCCTCAGTTAGGATCCAGGAATCTGCATTTTAACATGCACACCAGGAATTCTGATGCCCAAGGTTGAGCAAAACTGACTTAGGGCGTACAGACAGAGGATGCCTTAGTGTGGGGTCTTAGTTGGGTCTCATTGCTTGGGGCAGTTCCAGGAGGAATAGGCTAAAAGGGACTTGAACTGAATTCCCCACCTTGTATTTTTTTTGAGGAGAAGTGAGGTTAGATCAATCAGGTGATGGGGGCTAGTAATGGGGAGATCTCTAAGGAGAGGGGAACCAACCCTTTTGGCTAGGAGATGATGGGTAAGAGTCCATGCTTTAGGGTCATTCTTCCTCAACTGAAGGGTGCATCTTGCTATACTGCTAATATTTCAGTTTATTCATTGCTGTCTCCCCTCTAAGCTGTTGAGCTATCAGGTAAAAACAGATGCATGAGTGGATGGGGCCTTTATTGTAGAAGATGCCACACTTTGCACTGTCCAGTGTAGAAGCCACTGGCCAATTCATTTAAATTGACAATAAAATCGAGTTCCTCAGTTGCATTAGCTGCATTTAAATGCTCAGTAGACACATGTGGCCAGTGGCTACCTTATGAGACAGTGCAAATACGGAACAATTCCACCATCACAGACACTTCCATGACATAGCACTGCTCTAGAGAGTAGAGAGGAATTCAGTGGAAGGCTGTCCAGGGAGTAGGGAGTCCAGTTGAGAATGGAGAGCAGAGGGCTCCCCTTACAGGGTTGGAAATGCAGATGTGTCATGCAGGAGATCCAAGGTCCAAGTCTTTGCCCTTGCCCTTCCCTTCCTCCACCCAAACTTCTACCTCTTCCAGGCTTACACCACTGCTAATCCAGCATTAACCACAAACTATATTTCAGTTTTCCTGTAGGACTTAATTCTTTTTCAGAAAATGTGCAAAAACATTTTCTGCATAACAAAGCAACTTCATATTTCAACTCCGTAATCACAGAACTGTTACTCTAGGCATATTTTGCAGTGAATGCATTTGTGTAATATTTTCTCCATTTCTGTTTATAAGATTGTTATTTTGCAGGTCAAGTTGGGGGTGAGAAAGCATAGAGCTGTTATAGTTTGTTTATTAGTAAGCAGTTTCCCTTCATTTCCTTTTCTTCACATACTTTGGCTTTTAAACTAACCAAAACAGAAGGGTCTTAAGAGTTTGGGAGTCAGAAGGGGGATGGGAGTTCCTACTATATTTTACTGCCATAAGTAAAAAATAATTAACAAAAATCAACTTTTTTTAATAGGTGGGGAAGAAAACATGACAGAAACAGATGCCTTCTATAAAAGGTAAAGCTGTGCTCTTTTCTAATAAAGGTCTCTTCCTTTGATGGTCATGATCAGCCTACAGAAATCAAAGCAAGAATGGGTCCTGGGAGCTAGGAAGTAAAACTGAGTAGGCCAAGTTTTAGCCTTTGGGGAGCTCATTTGTAGATAGGCAGGTTGTGCTGCCCCTGGTTGTCGAGGGACCCGGAGTGATGTTCAGAATGCATATTAATTGGCATGGCATGAGCCTAGAGCTAGAACTTGGTTCTGAGCCTCGTGGTTATTCCTGGTTGCTGGATCCTGGGGGCCAGGGGAAAGACATCAAGGCAGAGGGTTAGGGATGTGTCAGGATGGCACATGGCTGCTCTTTACCAATTGGCAGAGAGATATTTCAGGACTTTCCTTATTAGCATGGCCTTTCCTGGAGCACACCCATGGAACATCAGCCTGGCAAGGAGGAAGCTCAGATCTCTATCTACATGTTGACCTAGAACTTGGAGGGGCTCATTATTTAATATGACTTGAAGTGATTGTTTTTCAACTTTTCATTAACAGAGAAATGTTTGATCCGGCAGAAAAGTACAAAATGGACCACAGGAGGAGAGGAATTGCTTTAATCTTCAATCATGAGAGGTTCTTTTGGCACTTAACACTGCCAGAAAGGCGGGGCACCTGCGCAGATAGAGACAATCTTACCCGCAGGTAGTAGTTTTATCTACCTATCAAGATGAGGCAGTTAAGTGATAAAATTACTTTTGGCCAGGTGTGGTGGTTCATGCTGGTAATCCCAGCACTTTGGGAAGCCAAGGTGGGAGGATCACTTAAGGCAAGGAGTTTGAGACAAGTCTGGGCAACAGAGTGAGACCTGGTCTCTACAAAAAATAAAAATCAATTAGCTGGGCATGGTGGCGGTAGTCCCAGCTACTCTGGAGGCTGAAGGGGGAGGATTGCTTGATCCCAGGAGTTCAAGGCTGCACGGAGCTGTGATCATGCCACTGCACTCCAGGCTGGGCAACAGAGTGAGACCTTGTCTCTAAAATAAAAAATAAAATAATTTTTTTCCATGTTTCCAAATGAAAAGTTAAAAAAAATTAAAAATTAAAAAAATTCCAGACTTCTAGATGTAGGGAAAAGTTACTTATCATAACTTGTCAACACTAATGAGGTAACAACAGATCAAGAGTGTTGGAGCATGGGCCTTGCTTTGATGCAGCCTCCCTTAAGAACTTGCCTGAGTTGGCCGGGCATGGTGGCTCACTCCTGTAATCCCGGCACTTTGGGAGGCTGAGGCGGGTGGATCATAAGGTCAGGAGATTGAGACCATCCTGGCTAACATGGTGAAACCCTGTCTCTCCTAAAAAATACAAAAAATTAGCCGGGCGTGGTGGTGGGAGCCTGTAGTCCCAGCTACTCGGGAGGCTGAGGCAGGAGAATGGCATGAAGCCAGGAGGCGGAGCTTGCAGTGAGCCAAGATCAAGCCACTGCACTCCAGCCTGGGCGACAGAGTGAGCCTCTGTCTCAAAAAAAAAAAAAAAAAAAAAACTTGCCTGAGTTATTTTCCTTACTCTGTTCTATTAAATGTTGACAGGCTTTTGCATTTGTACTAACATTTGCATAGTAGACAACAACACTCTAAATTGAATCGGCTGTCATTATGATTAAATCCTTTCCGACCATGGTGAATGAAGGGAAAACCACCATTGTTATATTTCATTTCTTTTCTCCTAAAGAAAGCAAATTTATGTGTCGTTAAAATGTGTATAGATTCTTCCAAAGTAAGGGTATTTGACAACTTTGAAAAGTTTATAGGCTAACATTTCATTTAATATACCACTAGGTTTTCAGATCTAGGATTTGAAGTGAAATGCTTTAATGATCTTAAAGCAGAAGAACTACTGCTCAAAATTCATGAGGGTAGGTAGTTTTGCTATCATATAGTTCATCTTCCTCTAATGAAACCGAGTCCTTTATCCTATCTGTAAAGACAGGTACAAGTAATTACTTGTGTGACAAAAAAAGTATTAATTTAGCACAGGTTACAGGTTTTGGGTATGCTGCTGTGTTTCCGTTACCCAGCACATTTAGAGACCCTTGCAAATAATTATGCCTCTAAAGTTTATATTTAGCATACCACTAGTTACAGTCTCTTGTAGAAATGAATGAAATGACCCCTTCAATTGGCAGTAAAAGCCTAAAATGCAAGTACTACAGGTGCTGGGCAGTCAACAGGCTCATTTTCTCATTGACTCCTTTCATGCCTCATTTTCTCACTGGTTTCCAAATAGTGTTGGTTTACATACATTACCTCCTTTAATTCTCACAGCGTCAATAGGGGGTAGGTATTCTAATTATAACAACCTATATTATAATCATCGCTGCATGCCAACCATTATATTTGCATAATTACTTTAAACTTTCTTCAGAGCTCTTCTTTAAACTGCACATCATTCTAACTTTGGCTGCTTTTACCAGCTTTTCTACTTTGCTCAGAAGCTTTGGAGGACATCAGTCTCATGGCACCGCACCTGGCTTTGAGTACTCTTTTGGAAGCTCTAAGTGCTATAATCTTTTTTTTTTTTTTTTGAGATGGAGTCTCGCTGTCCGCCCCAGGCTGGAGTGCAGTGGTGTGATCTCAGCTCACTGCAGCCTCCACCTCCTGGGTTCAAGCAATTCTCCTGCCTCAGCTTCCCAGGTAGCTCGCCCCCATGCCCAGCTAATTTTTGTATTTTTAGTAGAGATGGGGTTTCACCGTGTTGGCCAGGCTGGTCTTGAACACTGGCCTCAAGTGATCCACCTGCCTCGGCCTCCCAAAATGCTGGGATTCCAGGCGTGAGCCACTGCGCCTGGCCCTAAGTGCTGTATTCCTATAGTGAAAGTGCAGCAATGCGTGGGGAGCTGTTGAGCAGCAGTTTCTGGGTCTTTCCACTCTGCTCTAAGGTCTCTGCTGATTCAAGGAAATTTTTAGTTTATTGCCAAAATAACTTGGATCTTAAGTGAGATTCCCTATCGTAATCCCTTTATGTTTTCCACATCATTCTGTGTTTTAGAAAGGCTAATGAAATTTGGTCAAACTCTATTACTCTGAACTTTAATAAATTTGGATTTTTTTAAAAAAATAAGATACAGTACGGTATATTGTTTGATTAAAGACTAAGTTGTTTCATCACAGATATTTTACACTTATTAAAGAGTAGGCCGGGCATGGTGGCTCATGCCTGTAATCCCAGCACTTTGGGAGGCTGAGGCGAGGTGGATCACCTGAGGTCAGGAGTTCGAGACTAGCCTGGCTACATGGCAAAACCCCGTCTCTACTAAAAATACAAAAATTAGCTGGATATGGTTTCAAATCTGTAATCCCAGCTACTTGGGAGGCTGAGGCAGGAGAATCGCTTGAACCCGGGAGGTGGAGGTTGCAGTGAGCCAAGATCGCGCCACTGCACTCCAGCCCTGGGCACCAAGAGTGAAACTCTGTCTCAAAAAAACAAAAAAGACAAAACCACAAATTTTCCTCCTCCCCAATCATGTGGATGTAACTTTATTCTTGTGTTAATAAACTGAATTTTTATGTGTAGATAACAAGCATCATATTTTCATTTCTATATTCTCTTTTGGGTCCTTTATAGTGTCAACTGTTAGCCACGCAGATGCCGATTGCTTTGTGTGTGTCTTCCTGAGCCATGGCGAAGGCAATCACATTTATGCATATGATGCTAAAATCGAAATTCAGACATTAACTGGCTTGTTCAAAGGAGACAAGTGTCACAGCCTGGTTGGAAAACCCAAGATATTTATCATTCAGGTAAGACTGAGTACATTATCATCTTAATTATAAAGTCTGTCATTCTGAACATGTGATAAAGGTCTAAAAGCCAGTTTTGAAAGTAACTTTCTCCAGTAATTGGACAGGCCGTTTTTGAATTCTGGCCAATCATAGTTGCACTTTGAGCTGTTAGTAATAATTCTTTGACACTCTCATTGTCTATATTACAAAATAACAGCATTTGGATTGAGATTTGAAGTGACTCACAAAGTAACCAATGTGCTACTCCCTGTCCGAGCCTGATACCAAGGAGAGCCATTGGAAAGCGTACCTGCTGATTGAAGAGTGCCGCACAAGGCAACCTCATCAGACTAGGTTTGCTTCTTTGGGAGGTGGAGAGCATATAAACCAGTGGAAAGAATGGAAAAATAAAGCCTTCTAGTCTTATCCTGTCTCATCCCTTTCACATTGCCCCTTAAACCAAGATTGTTTCCCCGCTGCCAAATTGGTTTTAGGGATAAAAGTATTTTTTACAGGCGTGATGGCTCACACCTGTAATCCCAGCACTTTGGGAGGCCGAGGCAGGCAGATCACCTGAGGAGTTCAAGACCAGCCTGGCAAACATGGTGAAACCCTGTCTCTACTAAAAATACAAAAATTAGCTGGGCATGGTGGCAGGTGCCTGTAATCCCAGCCATTCGGGAAGCTGAGGCATGAGAATTGCTTGAACCTGGGAGGCAGAGGCTGTAGTTAGCCGAGAGCATACCACTGCACTCCAGCCTGGGCGTCAGAGCGAGACTCTGTCTAAAAAAAAAAAAAAATTTTTTTTTTTGCATGAATATTACTTGGCACATCATTAACGATTTTTTTTTTTTTTTTGAGATGGAGTCTCGCTCTGTCCCCCAGGCTGGAGTGCAATGGTGCAATCTCGGCTCACTGCAACCTCCGCCCCCAGGTTCAATTATTCTCCCACTTCAGCCTCCCGAGTAGCTGGGATTACAGGCACCTGCCATCATGGCTGGCTAATTTTTGTATTTTCATAGAGATGGGGTTTCACCATGTTGGCTAGTGTGGTCTTGAACTCCTGACCTCAGGTGATCTGCCCGCCTTGGCCTCCCAGAGTGTTGGGATTACAGGCGTGAGCCACTGTGCCCGGCCAAAGATTTTGAACTACAAAAGAGAAACCTGACATGCCAGTGTCACAATTCTGTATTTCCATGAATAGCATGGAGGACATGAAATAACATTATGTTAGTCTATTCTTGCATTGCTATAAAGACCTGAGACTGGGTAATTTATAAGGAAGAGAGATTTGATTGGCCTACAGTTCTGCAGGCTGTACAGGAAGCATGGTGCTGGCATCTGCTTCTGGTGAGGCCTTAGGAAGCTTACAATTATGGTGGAAGGTGACAGAGAGCCAGCATATGACTTGTTGGGAGTGGGAGCAAGAGAGTGCCAAGGGAGAGGTCCCAGACTCTCTTAAGTAACCAGATTTCATGTGAACTGAGTGGGAGCTCACTTACACCAAGAGGATGATGCTAAACCATTCATGAGAGACCCTCCCCGATGATCCAGTCACCTTCCACCAGGCTTCACCTCCCACACTGGGAACCACATTTTAACATGAGATTTGGAGGGGACAGACGTTCAAACCGTATCAAACATGAAACTGCATTTCGCATCCTACCATAAAGCCTTGTTTTGGGGTGAGGAAGTGGCTGTAAGTGAAGAATGACTGCCTCGTTTCTGGTTTGGACAACTGCATTGGAATGTCTGTGGGACATGGAATTGGTCATACAGGTGTAGAACCTAAGACAGGTGGCCTCGGCTGGAGAAATAAATCAGGAGGTGGTCGTGGAAGCCATGGGATTAGATGAGTTTACTCGTGTTGAATACAGCCTGAAAAAGGAGCATAAAACAAAACCGAGGGGCACCCATGAGGAATGGGCTGAAGAGGGAAGATACTGAGGAGGATGGACACCAGGAGAGAAACAAGAAACAAATAATGACATGATTGTTTTGTGAAAAGGGGAGTGGCCAACACTGTCAAACACAAGAGAATTGGAAATAACTAATGAGCTACTGTGGGAAGAAAGCCACAAATGAAATCGTTTTCCAAGTTACTTTCTCTCTCTATGCCTTAGATTCTTGGTAAAAAGAGCACCTGCCTCATGGGGTGGTTGTGTGGGCAAAATCACCTGACTGATTTAATGAATGCAAACCACTTAGAACAGTGCCTGGCATACAGCACGCCCTCAGTAAAGGCTCGCTCTTACTCTTATTGCAGTTGACTGGGCAGGTGATGTCATTAGGTTAAAGGTGTTCTGTTATATTTAGGAAGGACAGTAGAAAAAAGGCCTGAAAATAAGCCTGCTGATACGAAGATTAAAATCTGCCTATAAAAACGGGATAGTAGGGATTTTCTATTTATTTTATGATTTGAAATCATTCAGGACTTTCTTTTGATGCTCATAATTCTTTAACCATTTCAGAACTGATTGATGCATTTATAATGCTACAACAGAATCTTATTGGCTGGCTGTATTCGTGTATAGGGTGACCATAACAAAGTACCACAGACTGTGTGGTTTAAACAGCAGGAATTTATCGTCACAGTCCTGGAGCTGGAAGTCTCAGATGAACGTGTGGGGAGGATTGGTTTCTTCTGAGGCCTCCCTTTTTGGCTTGTAGGTGGCCATCTTGTCCCTGTGCCTTCATATGGTCTTTCTTCTGTGCATGTCTGTGTCCCAATTTCTTCTTATGAAGACACTAGTCATGTTGGATTTGGTTTCACCCGTATGACCTCATTTTCCTTAATCACCTCTAAAGGCCCTGTCTTCCAATACAGTCAGAGTTGAGGTATTGGGGCTAGGACTTCAACATATGAATTTTTGGGGAACACAATTCAGCTTGTAAAAGTCACTTATGAGAAGAGTTTAATGTTAGCCTCTGAGTGAGTCAGAATTTAATGTTAATTATGAGTCTAAATTTAATGTAAATTCTGAGTGAGTCAGAATTAGTGGGTAAAAATTTGAGACCTCACTTTTTAATGGGCACACAAGGAAGATGGTGCATTAGTAGGTATCTCCTCAGGTCAGGCTGGATGTCATTTTAACTCCTAACAATTTATAGCAGCAGCCAGGCAAGCAAAAGTCAATCTGGAAATACACTGCCTGCCTAAACAGAAACACTTAGGTCAATACTATAGCTTTCAAAAGGGAAGGTAACACCGTGTGCCCTGGGTGTGGTTAATCTGTAAGAAATTTTAAAACCACAAGCTTTTTCCTCTACAGTATACCCTTCTACCAACATAATTTGATGTATACTTGGGGATGCCAATTTTTTCTTAAAACATTAACTAAAAGAAAGCCTAAGTAAGGAAACAACTTTGTTGGCTTTTGTGCCCTCCAAACCTGAATGTATTGCTTCTGAACTGCTCAGAATGTGGTTTCTGTTGTAATGAAGGGGTACTGGCTTACACATTCACTGCACACATTAAGCACTGGGAAGGAAACAGTAGGCAAAGAGGTGGGTTTTTCCTCCTTGTCTTGTAGGCATGTCGGGGAAACCAGCACGATGTGCCAGTCATTCCTTTGGATGTAGTAGATAATCAGACAGAGAAGTTGGACACCAACATAACTGAGGTGGATGCAGCCTCCGTTTACACGCTGCCTGCTGGAGCTGACTTCCTCATGTGTTACTCTGTTGCAGAAGGTGTGTGGTGTTTAAAACAAACATATAATTGCCTCTCTTGGCTAAGGTCCTGTAAGTTTCACCTTTGATTGGTTTGGGTCAGATCTTTCGGTTGGGACATGGTGATTCCATCCTGAAGCTCACAGACTTAGAATTTCTTTGACCACATGGCACAGAGTGATAAATGAAAGTGTAAAGTACCTTACAGAAAAATAATTCCTGAGAGTTATGTTGAGTAAAGCAACAGTCTAATTAATTATATTAGTATTAGCAGCCTACCATCAGTTACTGAGGGTGGTAGTGCCATTGTGGTAATTGTCATGGAAAGCTTTAATTTTTTTTTTTTTTGAGACAAGGTCTCAACTCTGTCACTGAGGCTGAAGTGCAATGGCATGATCATGGCTCACTGCAGCCTCAATTTCTCAGGCTCAAGCAATCCTCCCACCTCAGCCCCCCTGTAGCTGGGACTATAGGCATGCACCACCATGCTTGGCTAACTTTTTAATTTTTCGGTAGAGATTGGGTCTTGCTATGTTGCCCAGGCTGGTCTCAAACAATCCTCCAGCCTTGGCCTCCCAAAGTGCTGGGAGTACAGGTATGAGCCATTGCGTGCGTGCGTGCGTTTTTTTTTTTTATAGTCTCACTCTGTTGCCCAGACGTGTGTGTGTGTGTGTATTTTTTTTTTTTTTTAATAGTCTCACTCTGTTGCCCAGGCGGGAGTGCAGTGGTCCAATGTCAGCTCACTGCAACCTCTGCCTCCTGGGTTCAAGTGATTCTCCTACCTCAGCCTCCCGAGTAGCTGGGAATACAGGTGCCTGCCACCACGCCAAGCTAATTTTTGTAGTTTTAGTAGAGATGGGGTTTCACCATGTTGGCCAGGCTGGTCTCGAACTCCTGACCTCAAGTGATCTGCCTGCCTCAGCCTCCCAAAGTGCTGGGATTATAGGCATGAGCCACCATGCCCAACTGAAAAATATTTTGATAATGGTTCTTTGCTTTTGTAGTAAATAATTTTGACTTCTTTTTAGTAATCTCATGTCTCAATCATTGTCTATCTTGGGAATTTTTTAGGAAATGGAAGAAATTATACAGAATTAACCCCGTGTATATAAAACTATATAGAATTAATCTCTTTTCCCATTTGAAAAGAGTCAAAAAAATTTAAAAGCCATTTATATCATGGACACATCTTAAGACTCTTCTAAGGATTTTTAAGAACTTATACTTCTGTAACTAAAAAGAATACACACAGTAATTGAAAGCCAGAAAACTGCAGCAACATTTTCCTTCTCACTTTTTTAGGATATTATTCTCACCGGGAAACTGTGAACGGCTCATGGTACATTCAAGATTTGTGTGAGATGTTGGGAAAATATGGCTCCTCCTTAGAGTTCACAGAACTCCTCACACTGGTGAACAGGAAAGTTTCTCAGCGCCGAGTGGACTTTTGCAAAGACCCAAGTGCAATTGGAAAGAAGCAGGTTCCCTGTTTTGCCTCAATGCTAACTAAAAAGCTGCATTTCTTTCCAAAATCTAATTAATTAATAGAGGCTATCTAATTTTACACTCTGTATTGAAAATGGCTTTCTCAGCCAGGCGTGGTTACTCACACCTGTAATCCCAGCACTTTGGGAGTCCAAGGTGGGCGGATCACCTGAGGTCGGGAGTTCGAGACCAGCCTGACCAACATGGAGAAGCCCCGTCTCTACTAAAAATGCAAAAAAAAATTTAGCTAGGCATGGCGGCGCATGCCTGCAATCCCAGCTACTTGGAAGGCTGAGGCAGGAGAATCACTTGAACCCAGGAGGTGGAGGCTGCGGTGAGCCGAGATTGCGCCATTGCACTCCAGCCTGGGCAACGAGTGAAACTCCGTCTCAAAAAAAAGAAAATGTCTTTCTCTTCCTTTTATATAAATATCGTTAGGGTGAAGCATTATGGTCTAATGATTCAAATGTTTTAAAGTTTAATGCCTAGCAGAGAACTGCCTTAAAAAAAAAAAAAAAAAGTTCATGTTGGCCATGGTGAAAGGGTTTGATATGGAGAAACAAAATCCTCAGGAAATTAGATAAATAAAAATTTATAAGCATTTGTATTATTTTTTAATAAACTGCAGGGTTACACAAAAATCTAGCTGATTTAACTTGTATTTTGTCACTTTTTTATAAAAGTTTATTGTTTGATGTTTTTAAAGGTTTTTGAAATCCAGGAATTAAATCATCCCTTAATAAAATATTCGAAATTCATATTTTATTACATTTTTCTAACTCACATTCTTGTTCATTTGTGTAATTGATAGATGTTTTTTACTCGGTCATTTAAATGTTTAATATTTCATCTACATATGAATTACCACATTTTGTGTATGACTTTAATTCCTACTTTAAAAAAAATCAGCATTCCAGAATTGTTGTATGGCATTCTGAGGATGAAATAGAAAACATAATTCTTAGCCACTATAGGTTGAACACCTGCAAAATCTGATTCTGTCAGCATCTTCCATGTTAAGTTCCTACAAACAGTCCAACAGTCATCAGACCCATTCACACACAATCACATTAATAGAATAACAGATGTTACTTTCAAGGTTCAATTCTTATTAATATGATATAGAATCTGAATAATACTGTTTTGTTAATAATCTGCCAGAGGCTGAAGAAAGTTAACTGTTTTGGCTTCGATACCTGAAACTTGTGATTTGCAGGTTCAAAAGCAATCGTTTATATACACTGTTTCAGTTGAAGTTCAAAAAGTACCAACTATACTTTATGGTTGGTGGAACATTTATGCCTTTTTGATAAATGATAAAAAGATCTTACTCCCAACTACTGCATATTAAAAAAAGAAGTTAATGACAAGACGATTCCGTGGGAGGTTGAGGCAGGAGGGTTGCTTGAGCCCAGGAGTTTGATTTGGCAAGACCTGGTCTCTGATTTTTTTAAAAGGATGATTCCAAATTAAGTCTAAGAATGGAAGTGAATGCCAAGCACAGACCCTTTCACCTCCACATAGAGAATAAACGTGGGACAAGCTGACAAGGATTTTTAGCTAACAGCAGCCACCGTTGCTTTGATAGACGCATACAAGCCCTTTCTAACATTAGCAAGTCATAAAAATCCAAAAAGTAAAAATCTCAGTTGAGAACTTCAAACAATACTTCTGTTTTACAAGAATTTAATAACAAAGATTAAACAATCAAAATGAACCATGGGACTCAAAAACATCCTAAGTTGCAAAATCAATACATAATGGAAAATCTGACGACATTTAAAACTGTAAGATTAATTCTTTTCATTGAGTTCTTCTACTTGCATTTGCAAACAGAGAGAATGACGCGCCTGTTTCAGGGATTCTTTAGCCTGTCATGGGAAAAAGAAAAAGCATGTGATCAGAAAGAAGAGAAACATACCAACATTACTGCTTGAGAGGAATTCTATAAACTTAGCGTCTCCTTACAGCAATAAAATGTTTAAACTATTAGTGGCAAATGGCTGAAATATATATATATTTTTCTTGAGATGGGGTTTCATTCTGTCACCCAGGCAGGAGTGCAGTGCTACCATCTCAGCCCACTGCAACCTCTGCCTCCCTGGTGCAAGTCATTCTCCTGCCTCAGCCTCCCAAGTAGCTAGGACCACAGGTGCCCACCACCATGCCCACCTAATATTTTTTGGTATTTTTTGTAGAGATGGAGTTTTGCCATGTTGCTCTGGCTGGTCTTGAACTCCTGGACTCAAGTGATTTGCCCACCTTGGCTTCCCAAAGTGACGGGATATAAATATTTCAATTTTATATGTGGATCTTTTTAAAAGATGAGTTTAAGTTTACTAATTCATCCTTATGCCTTAAAAAAAAATACAGTTTATACCCTTTATAATGGTTTTCCACTTAATATTCTTAAAAAAAAAACCCTTAACCTACCACTTTATCTTTTTATCTCCACTTTATTACCTTAAACATAATTAACAAGGTGTTATATTTAAATTTTTTTATTTTAGAGATGGGGTCTTGCTCTGTTGCCCAGGCTGGAGTGCAGTGGTGTGATCATAGTTCACTGCAGCTTTGGAACTCTTGGGTTCAAGGGATCTTCCTGCTTCAGCTTCCCAAGTAGCTAGGGCTACAAGCATGTGCCACCATGTCCAGCTAATTTAAAAACAAATTTTGTAGAGATGAGGTCTCACTATGTTGACTAGACTGGTCTCCAATTTCTGGACTCGAGATCCTCCCACCTCAGCCTCCCAAATCACTGGGATCACACTAGGCTTACCTTCTAAATCTCAAATGCACTGTCTTGTAAACTAGCTGAAAGAACATTCCTTAGCCTTCTCAGATAGGATTATTCAAATATAAGGGAATCCACAAATTTTTTTTAAAAGCATTATATTTTTCCTATAGAATGACTATATGAAATAAAATACATTTTTTAAAAAGGCTTGGCTGGACATGGTGGCTCACACCTGTAATCCTAACACTTTGGGAGGCCAAGGCAGGTGGATCACTTGAGGTTAGGAGTTTGAGACCAGCCTGGACAACATAGTGGAACTCTGTCTCTACTAAAAATACAAAAAGTAACCAGGTGTGGTGGCGGGCGCCTATAATCACAGCTAACTCAGGAGGCTGAGGCACAAGAATCACTTGAACCCAGGAGGCGGAGGTTGCAGTGAACTGAGATTGCACCACTACACTCTAGTGTGGGCAACAGCAAGAATCTGTCTCAAAAAAATTTAAATTAAAACGTCCTTCAATTTTTGGACTACAAAATTTGAGTGATTCTGTTTTAAATTCTAGGGATGAGTAATTTAGAAAGTACACATAACAAAAGGTTTGATTACCAGCTACTAAACAAGCATGCATTGAGCAATGGAGGATATTTTTACCAAACTTTTTTGTTATGAAATTACTGATAAAAATGAAAAATCCAGTGATGTGCTGAGAAGTCACCATCTGAACAAAGTTAATGAGTAAATTGGGAGGCCAGAGATAACTGGCTAACAAGCAGACTGTGAAAAAGTACTTAAGAATATAGACTCCGAAATCAAACTTGTGTTCGTACCATGGTTCCTTCACTTTTTAGCAGTGTATACCTGAGTAAGTGCCTTTCAGAAGGGAAAAAGATGAAGGGAGGAATACTATAATGATTCTTCTATCTTTAGGGACAAGAAACTTATAAATGCCTTAAGTTCCTTATCACAGTGTTCACCTTCCTAAAATGCTATTTTTTATTATTTGCTTAGAAATGGATTTCCAGTGAAAACTTTTATTTTACTATCTCAAGTCATTTAAGAAATTTTAACACACATATTTAAAGCTATCTTCATGTACAGAAGAGTAAAACTGGGATATGAAATTAATATGAAATATGTCAACCATTTCAATGAACAATCCCACAACACACAGAAATCTAGGACCAAGATTTAATTTGTGAGGATGAGCCACCAGTTATACTTCCCTGATACTAAGTTCTGGCTCCCAAACAAACCAGCTATAAGATGTATTTGTAGTATACCTTAGCAAGGTCTTCTTTTAACTTGTTGTATTGCTGCACATCAAAGTGCTGTTGCTTTGATTTCTTGTGGAAGAACTGAAGAAATTGCCTACTCTTAACAGCTGAGTAAGTATAATCCTTAAAAAAAAAGAGAGAGAGAAGAAAACAACATGTTTTGAATGAACATAATGCCTCTGCAAGAAAGATACTTGACTCAGCAACACCAAAGCAAAAGAAGGCAGATGAATGAGTGAAATATTTGCAATGGCCATGAGAGTAAGCATAAGCCAACACAAAACATTTAGTCTCATTTAAGATCTGCTGCTCCTTTCAAAAACAGGCAAGCTGGGAAGAGAAATTACACATAATGGGAAAGAAGAAGGAAGAAATAAGAAAAGGGAGATTTTTGGCATATTAAATAACCATGAGGCAAAGCTGATGTTACTGAATGTTTTGCAATGCAAATTCAGTTTTTTTTATAAATGAGGGCACAGAGAACACATATTTATCCCAATGGAGGAATTTGTGTGTTACACTAATTACTTCTCCAAAGAAGTTATATATAATTTCTCTGTGTTGTGAGTCTTCATTCAGTCTTGTGAAAAACAATAAAAAATTTACCAGCTCATAAAAACCAGATGGCAGTAATTCAGTAAATAAAAAGGCTTTTTTGCTCATTGCTTAGATAAGACATTCTTTGCAAAGATGTTCTAACTTACCATTTTCCTAACAAACTACTCACCTGTCGAGTGACTATAAAGTATGCAAAAAAGACCATAGAATTTGCAAATGTGATGAAGTATGTAACTGGCTCCATGATATCCCAGGAGTACACCCACCACGTGAGCCAGGCCAGTGCCCCACCCTGAATGGACAGCAGTGCCAATCCAGCCCACAGGAGTCCACTGGTTTTGGCTTCCGAATGAGCTTCTATTCCAGCTTTCACCTGAGGGGGAATGAAAAACTGTTAATTCTGTTTACAAATACACCAACTAAAGGGACAAAAAGCAAGATGAAAAGGAACTCTTGCCGGGCGCGGTGGCTCACGCCTGTAATCTCAGCACTCTGGGAGGCCGAGGTGGGCGGATCACGAGGTCAGGAGATCGAGACCATCCTGGTTAACATGGTGAAACCCCGTCTCTACTAAAAATACAAAAAATTAGCCGGGCATGGTGGCAGGCGCCTGTAGTCCCAGATACTCAGGAGGCTGAGGCAGAAGAATGGCGTGAACCCAGGAGGTGGAGCTTGCAGTGAGCCAAGATCACTCCACTGCACTCCAGCCTGGGCGACAGTGCAAGACTCTGCGTCAAAAAAAAAAAAAAAGAAAAGAGGAACTCTTGAACAAATGCACATCTGCATTACTTTGAAGAGGTCAGACATATGGAAAAACAATTTATGAAACATACATGAATGAGTAAATGCTCATTTCAAATCAGCTCACTAATAAAACTCTTTAAAACTATAAAGGTAATAACTGCCCTTGGAAAAATGAATAGTAAAGTATACAATTGAAAACTCAGAAGTCATCCTCTGAAACCCAACTAAAATTAGAGGCCTATTTGACTCAGCAATTCTACTTCTAGGAATTCATTCTGAATATATACCTGCATACACAAAACCCATTACAGATTCATTCTCAATAGCTGAAGTCCTAAAAGAATCCATATGCCCATCAAGATATTACACAACTGTAATGAAGCTCTGTGCCAATAAGGAGAGATTTCTATAATACACTGAAAAAAGATGAGAATAGTGCATAATAGTGTGCTTCCTTTTCTGAGAAAGAGAATAAAATAAGAATGTATTTGTTTGTACACAGATAAAGGAAATCTGAAATGATTCATAAGTGTGGAGAATATAGTAACTGTGTGGAGGACAGGGTGGGAGGAAAACTTTAGATTTTAAAATTTTAATCCAAGTAAATATATTACAAGTAAAGAAAAAACTAAAATGGTAAACGATAAAAAAAACCAAACAAGTCCCTCTCTCTGCCATCCTCCAAATACCCTTAGAGGTAATCACTATTAAAACTTCCTTACATCTCCAGAAACTTTCCATTCATATTCAAAGATACACATATACCTTCCCATTTAAATAAAAACCACAAATGGGATTATAAGTCTAAAGAATGCAATTCTTTCCCTTGAAACAAACCAATTTCCCCAACTATCCCCCCAAATCAAAGTTATTTTTTCCACACCATTGATTAACTTTAGATGCTAGCCATTACCAACTTTCCAGCTGCAATTCTGTTAGGCACAGCAGGGGCTCTGGGCCTATTCTCTAAAAAGGAAAGGGAGGTAGGACTCCAGCTAGTGCTGCCCTGCTCATATTATACTTATTTACAGAGACATTATGACTGATCTCTGGAGAGGAGGCATGGCATAGAGTTTAAGATGGCAGCTCTGAACACAGGCCACGTGAGCTCAAGTCCAGGCTCTACCATGTATTAGCGATACAGCTCTGTTGCTCAGTTTCCTCATCTGAAAAATGAGGAAGATAAAAGCACTGAACTTACAGGTTTTTTGTGAGGCGTAAAGGAGAAAATTAGCATATGGAAAGCATTCAGAAAAATGCTCACATGAGGAGCACTCAATAAACACTAGGTATTATTTTCAAATATACTCAACCGTGATGCTTCCTAACCTGTTCAAGGGGCTGCAGCTGTTCCTTCAGGTGGTCAATTTTCTCCAGTAAATGGTGCTCTCTCTTTTTCTGAGACTCTTCTAAATGCAAGATTGTAAATAGTCTGTGAACCAAAGATTTCATGTGTTCCATCTCAGCAGTGTGCTCATTACTTGGTTTTTCTGAGAAAAGACACAAGGGAAACAAGCCAGTCACCACATTGTTCCCGCAGGGTGTGTAAATCTTTCGGTCCCCAATTCTCTTTCCAAATATTATCTTAGGATCCACAGGGTAAGGAAGCTGGTGTACAAACATGTAAACAAAGGTGTAATATACATTTGAAAAGCAGTTCAAGTGTACTTTTCAACAAAGAGAGTCACAGTAAACAACAAAGTGTGGATCTGAAGAGCAGTTCATATACAAGGTAAAAAAAAAAAAAGTCACCAAAAAAATGACTTTGGCATAAGGATTATTTTCAGCTGAAGGCAATTGAGCATAAGCAGCTACAAGAAAGGCTCTCTGGCCTCTCCCTTTTTGCCCAAAAGCAGGACACAAATTTTACAAAGACCTCGTGAGAGACAGAACTAGCTGGATTTCCTAGGCCAACTAAGAATCCCTAAGCCTAGCTGGGAAGGTGACCGCATCCACCTTTAAACACGGGGCTTGCAACTTGGCTCACACCCAACCAGAGAACTCACTAAAATGCTAATTAGGCAAAAACAGGAGGTAAAGAAATAGCCGATCATCTATTGCCTGAGAGCACAGCGGGAAGGACAAGGATCGGGATATAAAACCAGGCATTCGAGCCAGCAATGGCAACCCCCTTTGGGTCCCCTCCCTTCGTATGGGAGCTCTGTTTTCACTCTATTTCACACTATTAAATCTTGAAACTGCACTCTTCTGGTTCGTGTTTGTTACTGCTCGAGCTGAGCTTTCGCTCACTGTCCACCACTGCTGTTTTGCCGCCGTAGCAGACTCGCTGCTGACTTACATTCTTCCGGATCCAGCAGGGTGTCCACTGTGCTCCTGATCCAGCGAGGCACCCCTTTGCCGCTCCAGATCGGGCTAAAGGCTTGCCATTTGTTCCTGCACGGCTAAGTGCCTGGGTTTGTCCTAATTGAGCTGAACACTAGTCACTGGGTTCCATGGTTGTCTTCCGTGACCCACGACTTCTAATAGAGCTGTAACACTGCATGGCCCAAGATTCCGTTCCTTAGAATCCGTGAGGCCAAGAACCCCAGGTCAGAGAACACGAGGCTTGCCATCATCTTGGAAGTGGCCCACGACCATCTTGGGAGTTCTGGGAGCAAGGACCCCCGGTAACACTCTCTACCAGAAAGAACAAAGGTAGATCGCCAGAGACAACTTTAGACCCTTTTCAGCTTGGAGACTGCACCAGAGGAATCTACAGACAAACTTTAGTAGCTTTTGACTACCTTTAACCAACTTATTTGCTTTTCCACAATTTGCTGACCCCAGAGACTCAAGGACCTTTTCCTTTGACTTGTCACAACTCTAAAAATGTATTATTCTTTGTAGAAGATGCTCTATCAGCTGAGGTTCAGAGCCACCTCTTTGAGAATTACTCATTCCTTGGATACCTCCCATGTGTCTATGGAATATACACATTAATAAACTACTGTTTGTTTTCTTCTTAGTAATCTCTCTTATCACAGGGGTCCATCCCAGCTAAGAACTAAGAGTAAAGGGAAAATTATTTTTCAACTCTTACAGGAGTTACGGTTTCAGAGTTTTTAATATAAAGTTCTCTTGATTATAGACTTCCCTCATCCCACCTCCTCCATGGGTTTATAAGTCCATATAAAATTAGGCTCTGCTATGAGAAGTCCCTCAGATTGATACCCTTCTGAGAGCTGTAATTGTTCATTATCACTGTTAAGAGAACCTGAGGGAGGACAAGGTGAGAGGAAGGGAAGATGGACCTTCCCACCAGGCAGCAGCAAACAACTGCAGACAAGAGAGACATATGTCTAGAGTTGGTATCAGCCCAGTAAGTTTTCCAGTTTGTGTCAGTAGTCCTGAAGTTATTTTTCTTCCATCACTACCCAATTCAAGACTGCTGTGGTCTTTACCCCCTTCCATAGTCTAGGCTATAGCTGCCACAGAGGGGTGAAAGCTAGGTGTTCTCTTTTAGGCTTTGAGATCTGTAGAAGAGTCAGAGTCCTTTTGTTAATGAAAAATGTATTGGTACATAAAACATATACATACAGAGAAAAGGCATAGATGGAAGATAGGCAAAGCTAGGCACTAAAACAGCAAGGGTAAATTTTATTAATAACTATTGCAATAGGGTCCAGCGTGAACTGAACTCAACTTCAATTTGTGCAGAGATGACTGTTTTAAAGAAAGAATGACAGAATGGGCAGGGTGAACAGCAGGGGCTTGAACAGAGTCAGGGAAATGAAAATTTACAAAAAGTGGATAGTTGGTTAATGTTACTGGGCCATCTGGGTTTGTTAACTGGTACCTATCCAGAAGAGAAATAAACTTCTCATACCTTATGACAGGATGCAAGTCAGAGCCAGGCACCCACGGGTTGGGAGTAAGAGCCAGAGTTATGTCCTTGAACGTTAACATTTCAAAGAGAGACTCCCAAGTCCTTGAGAAGACAGGTCTGGGTGATAAAAAATTTATACCCTCAGGCCAGGTGAGGTGGTTCACGCCTGTAATACCAGCACTTTGGGAGGCCAAGGTGGGTGGATCACCTGGGTTCAGGAGTTTGAGATCAGCCTGGCCAACAGGGTGAAACCCCGTCTCTACTAAAAATACAAAAATCAGCTGGGCATGGTGGTACACACCTGTAGTCCCAGCTACTCAGGAGGCTGAGGCAGGAGAATTGCTTGAACCCAGAAGGCAGAGGTTGCAGTGAGCCGAGATTGCACCACTGCACTCCAGCCTGGGTGACACAGAGAGACTCTGTCTCAAAAACAACAACAACAACAACAACAACAACAAAATTATACCTCAAAGCGGGAGAGAAAGTTCATAATTGCAAGCTTTCTAAAGTAACTGCTTGTCTGAGTCCACTAGTCCACTTTCTGCTTCTATAACACGATACCACAGACCCCATAATTTACAAAGAACAAAAATTTGTTTCCCCCTCTCCCACTCCCTCTCTACGGTCTCCCAGTCTCCCTCTCTTGCCGAGGCTGGACTGTACTGCCATGATCTCGGCTCGCTGCAACCTCCCTGCCTCGGCCTGCTGAGTGCCTGGGATTCCAGGCACGTGCTGCCACTCCTGACTGGTTTTTGTATTTTTGGTGGAGACGGGGTTTCGCCGTGTTGACCGGGCTGGTCTCCAGCTCCTGGCCTCAGGTGATCTGCCCGCCTCGGCCTCCCGAGGTGCTGGGATTGCAGACGGAGTCTCGCTCACTCAGTGCTCAATGTTGCCCAGGCTGGAGTGCAGTGGCGTGATCTCGGCTCACTACAACCTCCACCTCCCAGCCGCCTGCCTTGGCCTCCCAAAGTGCTAAGATTACAGCCTCTGCCTGGCCGCCACCCCGTCTAGGAAGTAAGGAGTGTCTCTGCCGGGCCACCCATCGTCTGGGATGTGAGGAGTGCCTCTGCCCAGCTGCCCCGTCTGGGAAGTGAGGAGCACCTCTGCCCGGCCATCCCGTCTGGGAGGAAGTGAGGAGTGCCTCTGCCCGGCTGCCCCTAATGGGAAGTGAGGAGCGCCTCTGCCTGGCTGCCCCATCTGGGAAGAGAGGAGCGCCTCTGCCCAGCTGCCACCCCATCTAGGAAGTGAGGACTGTCTCTGCCTGGCTGCCCCGAATGGGAAGTGAGGAG